>NC_000005.10:83746170-84049200 GCF_000001405.40 Homo sapiens | reverse complement strand
AATTATATATATTGGCATTGGCACATAAAAACTTTGAAATGTCTATATCTAGGTAGCATCAGATTTTTCAGCTTCTTTACCCAGTAGTAATAATTTAAAGTGAGTAATTTATCATTTGCCAATCTTCTCTACTGAAACTGTATTTTTACTAAAGCAGTTATGTGTTTTTGTGTCTGTTATCACTGGCTTTCAACAGAAAGATTAATTTCTTTTTTACTTCTGCTCAGATTAGACAAATTGAAATTAAACATTGTTAAGATGCTTAAAGACATTCTATGAGGAGCAGGGACATTGCTAATGATCATGCTATTAATTGTGAAGAAATATGCTGATTCATTTTGGTTTTGTTCACGGAACTAAACAAACTGCACTCAAAGAATTAACTTGGATTAACTAAAAACTTATTTTAAAGTAAAATACTACAAATTTTGTTATAATGAATACATTGTGTATGTATTCATTGCCGTATTGGTGGTGACTATAGAAAATGGATAATTTACTATTCATAATTAAATCTACTAAACGTTTTTCAGATTTCATAAAGGGTAACATAATATAAAGGACTAACAGGAAGGAAAATGTCACAATCCCACCTAAGAAATGATCTTTTGGTCTATTTCATAAGACATTTGCTAATTTAAGGTAGTCTGCATAGTATTTCAACCAAATTAGTAGAATTAATAGAGTTGTTAGACTGAACATTTTAGTGTTGACCTTTATCAAAATTGCGTCTGACCCTACAGATTTTCATTTCAATACTAATTTTGTGAAAATGTATAAGAAATCAATTGAATTTAAGCTTTCAAATTAAATAAGCCTTATTTAATTTAGTCCATGTCAGATTTTTAAAAGGGAGTATTCTAGACATAAAATTTATAACTTCATTAAAGCATTAACTTATTTTGCCTTCTGAACAATTTATTTACAGGAGAACTAAAGGAAAGGTTTTCAAAATTAAGTGACCACCAGGCCACTGGAAACATTTGTCAATATGAAGGATTATTCTGATTTCCAAATCACAGTTCCAATATTTCTCATTTATGAAGGTTCACCTATAAAGAAGATCTAAAAGAGGTCAAGTAATGAAACTTGTATATGATTGTGAGACAGCTTCCGTTCTTCTATAGTATTGACATATGTTGGAGTGTGCTAAGTGAATCGAAGGATGCTCACACTTTCCTAGGACTATAAGTCATCTTTATGTATTTTTTCATTTTTTTAAACCACATACCATGAATAAGAAATCTTTTTGATTTTTATAATTTTATGATGTCAAAGGGAATCCCCACTATCCAATTAGAAAAAAGAACTTTTTATAAACAAAACAAAATTGAAAGGACATTTGTACAGAAAATACTTAAGTGCAAACAAAAGTGCAGCCAATATCAATGTAGTATAAGGAGTGCATAATTTGAGGTACAAAATATAGATGTGAGGGCTGACAAATTATATCAATACTCTGAGACTTCAATATTCTTTCTTTTTTTATGTAAAATGGAGATACTACAAAAAAAGATCAGCCCCAGCCTATCTTCTCCTTTTAAAATTCCTCACACAAGTAAAATTCTGGTGTCTAAATCATGACTGGACGAATCCAAAGAAATCAGAAAATTATCAAGACACCAGCTAATTTCTTCACAAGGTAGCACAAGTATGAAGCTAATAAAAAGTCATGTAACAATTATTGATACAGATATAGCCATCTAACCTTCAAATAGACCTATAAAAAGTTAACTTTTATACAATGAATAACACATCTACTTAATACTCAAAATATTGCCCCTACCTTTCCATCCCTTCTAATTTTGAGTCATTTATTTGGTTTAGTATCTTACATCTCTCTAAAAACAGCTTAGAAAACAAAAACTTCCATAAGACAAGGAAGTAAGATATAGTAAGTGATTATTAAATACTTACTTAATATTTAATAAGTAAGTGCTTGCATATAGAAAATCATGAAAAAGGCCCAAAGTAATAGTTTCTGGTGCCAAAGAGAAGGAAATAGATTAACCCCAGATACAGGGTACAATCTCAGAAAGACAAGCTCTAGTGGTACATTAAAAAATGCATGGAACCTTTATGGTTTGGAGGTTATTTTAAATGACTTTATACTTTTTGAATTAAAATAAGTATATTTGGGGCACCTGTTATAACAAAACACAATGTCAGGTGCAAGGAACTGAAAGACATATTCAGTATTATGTCTGCCTGCATGTATGATTACTGATGCCATAATTGTCATTAATTCAAAATTCCAAAAGCAAGAAACAGAAGTGTAGGATGTTGAATGCTTCTGCTTAGAAGTGGTATTGAAACCATTGAAAAACCACGACAGAAATTAAAAGAATTTCATGTGCACAGCAGACCTGCTCCTGTTTTATGATAATGCAAATTAGATGACTTCTGATTCCTGTGTGTGCAAATGAATTTTCGTTTGTGGCGTATTAGTTATCTTTGTAGCAACAAAGCATAGCTGTAAGAATGGTAACCATTCTCTTCTAAAAATATGAACTGAAAATATGCCAATGAGTAAAATTTAGAACTTGGGAATACTGTTTCAAATATTATGAGCATTTGTAAAGGCTTTTAAATAAAATTAGAATCAATTGTAATCAGTAATCTCATTTTGTCTTTAAAGCAGCCCTCTCCGTGAGCTAAGTTATGTTTGCTTTATAATGAAGAGTCAGAGAAGCTTGTTAAAGATTGCAGAGCCAGTCAGTGGTCTAAAGGGGATTCAGCACTTGTCAGGAAGCCTATGAGATGATTTTTACCACAGTATTTTCTAGACTATTATAATGATTGAAGTGACTCATTTTTTTCAGGGGATATCTGTTGGATTAGGAAGCCTCTCCAATGCCCAGTCCTGACCAGCATAGCTCTGGTCACTTATCTTGTCTTGAATAAGAGCTCCTGGTGGGTCCAGCCAGGCTCTGCAGATTCTGTGGATTCAGCTTGCCCTCTAAATTTGTGGTGCCACATTGTAACAATCGTATATCCCTTCCAGTGCTCCTGAGCATTGGATACACACACATACACATGTATGAAATATTTGGAAAATGCAATTCCTACATTTTTGGTTTAAAATAAAACAAATAGGAAATAGGAATGTAAACTCTAATATTTTCTGCCCACAACCCAACGATATGTTTGTTATTCATACATTATGTTTTAGAGAACCCTGCTCTGTCCAGCGAGCTTGCTCATAGTTAAGCTCACCTGGCTCAATTGCTTTGGTTTATCCTAGAGACTTTTGTAATATTTCCTCAAAGCCAGTAATGCTATAATAATAGGTAGTTCACTTTTTGTTTACATTTATGATTGTAAATGTCTCTCATTTATGAAGTATTGATTTGCTGGCTGATATCAAAATAAAATTTATTTATAGAAAATTTTGCATTCATTTCTTTTTAATTAATACAATTAGCATTTGTGCAAGGAAAACATGCCTCAGTGAAGTGACTTTCAAATGTCTAATGTCTTTGTTCGTTTTATGCCGCTATTATAATTCTTTAGCATAGTGTGTCTTCTGGACCTAGACAAAGCCTTTTCTGTATTGATCTTTGGTAAAATTCTTTTCTGAGATTATTTAAGATGTGACTAAGGACACATTTATCTGCTTGCAGCTTCTAGGTAATAACTTTCTGGAATTAGTTTATATTTTAAAAAATAGATGTACATTTTTTTTTCACTAGAAGAGATTGTGACCTTAGTATTAAAGCCAACCAAAGTTTTGACTTCTGAACTAATTGCTTAGGTTCCTTGCCCAGGCCCAGTCAAAGAATCTTTATGCTGCTCTTGCCATTTGACCTGCCCTCTACTTCTGACAGTTTCTGATATGTGTCTTACTGCTCTCCTCCCCTGACTTCTTCTCCACCTGAGCTTTGCTGGTTGCTTGTTGATTGGTTTATCTACTGATATGGTTTGGCTGTGTCCTCACCCAAATCTCATCTTGAATTGTAGCTCCCATAATTCCTATGCATTGTGGGAGGGACCTAGAGGGAGATAATTAAATCATGGGGGCAGTTTCCCTCATACCTCTCTCATGGTAATGAATAAGTCTCATGAGATCTGATGGTTTTATAAGGGTTTTCCTCTTTCTCTTGGCCCTCATTCTCTCATTCTCCCCATGGCCATCTAAGACATGTCTTTTGCCTCCACTGTGATTGTGAGGTCTCCTTAGCCATGTGGAACTGTGAGTCCATTAAACCTTTTTTTCTTTGTAAATTACCCAGTCTTGAGTATGTCTTTATCAGCAGTGTGAAAATGGACTAATGTATCTACTCTTTGGCTTTACACTCCAGCTCTGGCCTGCCCCCTGAAGGGTAATTGGTTGTTTCTCGGCAGCCCACCCTCATCTCTGTTGAAGTTTCAGGAACTGCCCTGGCTCTTATGGTGCCAACTGCTGCCACTTCGACTTCTGGCTTCTTAGTACACATGGGTCTAGCTTGCTGCCATAGCTGACATCCACCTTAGGCTTTCTACCGCCCGCAGAGCTCTTGGTTCCTAGTCCTTTTTGTGAATCCAAAACTACTAGCCCAACACAAAATTTCCATTATCCAGATGACCCTTTCTTCAGATAGTTCCACTACGAGATTTGGGTTCTTCTGACGACAGACCCAGTTTTCAAAATGACCTTCTTTTCCTGCTTTGATTTTGAACTGATCTAATTAGGAAAATTTCGTCCTAAAAATGCAGTCCTTTAAAACAAATTACATTCTCTTTCTCTCCGAATAACAAATTGTATCAGCATTTTCCAAGATGTATCCTGAAAATCACTACTCCCATAAGGTAAGCAGTAATTCCAAAAAAAAAATGGTTCTGGGCTGAAATACATTTTGTAAATTCTATATCCTCTTTTATGTTCTTAATTTCTCACATGCATATTAACATAGTAAAGACTCTTAAGAGTCCTGTAGGAAAGGGAGTTGTTTAACTCTTTTTAGTTGATGATTTTCTAACTTATTTTTCATGGAGTGCTTTTTAACATGGATGCAGCTGGAAACCATCATTCTCAGCAAACTAACACAGGAACAGGAAACCAAACACCGCATATTCTCACTCATAAGTGGGATTTAAACAATGAGAACACATGGACACAGGGAGGGGGACATCACACACAGGGGCCTGTCGAGGGGTGGGGTCAAGGAGAGGGATAGCATTAGGACAAATACCTAACACATGTGGGGCTTAAAACCTAGATGACGGGTTGATAGGTGCAGCGAACTACCCTGGCACATGTATCCCTATGTTACAAACCTGCACATTCTGCACATGTATCCCAGAACTTAAAGTAAAATAAAAAATAAAAATAAAAATAACTACCCTAATATCCTATAGGAACCGCTTTGGAATATCATGTAATAATTAAATTGTATTTCTATAGCACTTTGTTGTTTTCAAAGGGCTTTTCTATTTTTTTTACTGTATCTTTCTAATAATATGTGTACATATGTATACACATGTATAATGTGTACATATTATTTGTATAAATTACCCTGTCTCAAAACATGAAAAATACAATTTGCTGACATTACATGACTTAATCCTGCAAATGGCAGAACTTGACCCAAAAATCCAGTTTCTCCCTTTTCTGTTGAGTTCCATTTTTTCATGGCTGCCTGTGGCTGACATCACATAGAATGTGGTTTAACCTTAACAGCCTTTTTTTGCATCAACATGATTTTTTCAGTACAGCACAATATATACAACATATGTGTATCCGCAAACTTGGTTTTCCAGTTCACTGCGTGCCTCTGTTCCTACTTCATATAACAAACAATTTCATCAATTTTTTGTTCATATCTGTGTAAACCAAGCATTTGAAATTATCTAAATGAATCCAAAGCATTGTTATCAATTTCATCTTCAGAATGGTGCACATAAGCTAAAGTTAACCCAGATATACCTGAGGAATAGTCGACCCCTGTCATGAATAAAATGAGTCATATGCATGGACCACTCTAAGCAAGGAAAGTAACAAGTGAACACTTTTACTTTCTGAGAAACAGTTCCTCAAAGAAGTTTACAACAGTACACAAATACTTATTTGTCACTCAAGTTGTAAAAATTTTGTCCCGTTTCTTAAACTGCATTTAACTTTCTTTAAAACTGTTTTCTCTTGCTTAAAATGACAGAGGATCATCGCTACTACTTGTCTTTATGTTAACTTTAGTTTGTCCTTCTGCAGATATTCACATGCTTTGGTTTTGCCTCCTCTGTGTTCATTTCTATGTTCATTTCTCTATGTTAATAAGTAAATTTCTGTCTGCTGGTTCCAATGAAAGGTTCTGACATACATTAAACTTTAATGTAGAATACATATTAGGATATTCACCGTTTTAAAATGGGACACCAAACATAAGCAGTAGACATTTTGTAGGCTTTCCCACGTGTTGAGTAATAGGAACTCTGCTATGAAAGCATCATTATTTTTTGCGTTACAGATTTTCCTCATTTAACAAGCCATACTATAGGCTCTTTGAATAACAAGATATCTGTATCCAATATATTTTCTCCTCTCATGCTTTGTGTCCTCTAAATAAAAAAAATTTAAAGGAAGCAGGGGTGTGCCTGTTTACTTTTACTCAGTAGAATAGGTTCAATTAAAAAAATAGTGTCAGGCCAGGAGCAGTGGCTCATGCCTGTAATCCGAACACTTTGAGAGGCCGAGGCAGGCAGATCACCTGAAGTCAGGAGTTCAAGACCAGCCTGGCCAATGTGGTGAAACCCCATGTCTACTAAAAATACAAAAATTAACCAGGCATGGTGGCGGGCACCTGTAATCTCAACTACTCGGGGGGCTGAGGCAGGAGAATCACTTGAACCCAGAAGGCAGAGGTTGCAGTGAGCCGAGATCAAGCCACTGCACTGAAGCCTGGGCGACAAATAAGACTCCGTCTCAAAAAAAAAAAAATTTCCATTTGCACTATTTTTTAATGCTATTGAAAATGATAAGAAGGTTTTTGTACAAGGTTACCCATCATAAGAAAAAAAAGCAAAGTGATATTTATAGCCATTATTAATTACATTATTAATTTCTATTTTTATGATACCTTGTCCTATAGTTTTAAAATAAAATATGGAACAAAATTTGATAGCAGTTACATTCAGGGTTGTATTATCATTATGGCATTGGGTGTATATGATTACTATTGCTATTCTATATGCAACATAATTAGCAAAACCAAATGTGGTTAAGAGGGTTTAAGGTAAATGAGTGGAACAACTATTATTTGAGTTAAACTCTGAGTCACTTTTCACCCCATTCTTAACATCCTACCACCTATTAAAGGTTCAATCTTTGTTTATTTCATGAAAAAGCACTGTAGGGTTTTAATCCCCAAAGCTGTAGGATTTGATGGCCCTTTGTTAAATACCACAGGACCCATCTGTTCTGTTAGGCATATGCCTTACGATGTGGGAAAATCTGTAATACACGGTAATGAATCCAAAGTCCTTTAGACTGCAACACTAAATTTTATATATATCTATATATATATATAGGTAGAGATATACACAAATATAAGTATATAAGTATATACATATAAGTATATATGTAAGTATATGTATATGTGTGTGTGCATATATATGTGTGTATATACATATATACATATATAGTATATACATATATATACTATATATGTATATATATATGCACACACACACATTTTCTACAAGCTGTCTTAAAGCTCTGTAATGAGAAATAGGGAAAATTCTAAAAATAAAGCAGCTTTAAAGATCTCAGTGGGAAAAAGCACACCACCAGCTGCCTGTATCTTCTTACATGTTGGTGTCAAAGTCATTTTCTCAAAGCATGGTTTGGAGACCTCCTGCATCAGAATCAGCTGGTGGCATGGGCTGGCTGAAAACGGAGATTCTTAAATTTTATCCCCAGAGATTCTGATGTTATTAGGTCTGTGTTGGGCATAGAAATGTGCATTTTTGGACAAATATATTTGGGTTCTTGTGCAAGGTGATGTTCAAGAAAAAAGGAATTGGATATTTATTATTTGAAACATGTTCGTTTAAAGGCAACCTCTTGGTTTGTTTTGTGTTTTTTTTTTTTATTTTGAGACATTGTTTTGCTCTGTCTCCCAGGCTGGAGTGTAGTGGCACAATCCTGCCTCACTGCAAACCCCACTTCCCGGACTCAAGCGATCCTCCTACCTCAGACTCCCAGGTAGCTGGGGCCACAGGCACACACCACCAAGGTTGGCTAATTTTTGTATTTTTGTAGAGATAGGGTTTTGCCATGTTGCCCAGGCTGGTCTCGAACTCTTGAGCTCAAGCGATCCATCGGCCTTGGCCTCCCAAAGTGTTGGGATTACAGGCGTGAGCCGCTGTGCCTGGCCTGAAGTCCCATTCTAATGGGACTTACTTAGATATACTGACTTTTGAAGATTACTTAAGCATTAATCTAATTGCAATTTAAGATTAAAGTATCAGGACACTCCAAATTAAAGAAATTCTGTGGTACCAGTATCCAAAGGATAAAAATTCCAGCTTATATTGATCTTTTATTAAATGAATAAATCCAACAACAAATCTTTAATTTCTCTTATCTCTGTAGGAAATAAAGTGTATTAAACATCCATATATAGAATCAAATCTAAAATTTATGAGAAAGAAGATCTGTTTTCGTATCTGTAATTTAAGTGTTCTCTGGCTAGAATATATATATATATAATTATATATCTATATATACCCTTTATATATATAATTAAATTATGAAATTTAAATCAATTTTTTTATTTTGCCCTTTGATATATGTAACACAATAACAGATATTCTGAACAATGACCATGAGGTATTACCAATTTCTGAAGTACCATTTGAAGAGAGAAAATATGATCAGTGAAGATGGAATATTAAGTTTACTGTTGCTGTCTGTTAAAGAGGCCTTGGGTAAAGTAAGTGCATGATGCACGTTAATATGGTGTTGAATACTATTTTCAAGAGTTATCAATCTATGTGCAATTTGTAGGATTTTGAATTCACTGATACATTTCATAGGAGACAGTATCTGAAGTGGTTAGAGTGTTAAACTCTATAACAGGACCTTCTGGGTTCAAACCCCTTCTCTGCCACTAGTTGCATGACAATGGGCAAATCCATCTGTTACTATCTCAATATTCTTATTTGCTAAATAGGAATAATAGTACCTATTTTATAGGGTTGTGTAAATAAATTAGCATTTATAAAGTGCTTAAAGGATAACTGATATGAAAATGTTAGCTATTATTTTATTGATTAGAATGACTAAGTTCCCTGTAAAACTGTATATAGCATTTGCTTTAAGACTACCAGATAAAAATACAGTTAAACTTAGTTAAATTTAAATTTATTATAAATGGTGAATATTTTATTTTATTTTATTTTATTATTATTATACTTTAAGTTTTAGGGTACATGTGCACAATGTGCAGGTTTGTGCTTACTAAATATTACATGGGATGTACTTATACTTTTAAAAAATGTAGTTTATCTGAAATTCAAAGTTGATAGACATTTCTTGTTTTATTTTGCCAAATTCAGCAATCCTATTTTCACTTCATCTCATTTGCTTTCATTTCCCTGGTACATTTAATTGATCTAAGTTATGATGCTGATATAATGATGATTTTCGGTCAATAGATAATGATTTTAGCAGACTGCTCATCTGTAATTGTTTTGCATTGTGCCTCTATTCCTGGTGAATAGATACTGAAAAGTCTAATAGTTTATTAACTTTCAAGCAAATATGCTTAAATTGACTTCCACATCAAAAGTTTTAATCTCTATTTCGTTCTGGTGGTAAAGATGCTATTTTGTATTCTGGCTCTCCTGTGTTTAGTGGATTGCTGGGAATCAGATGAATCCTTTGGATCCACAGATAAATTCAGGTGATCAACTCAGTAGCCTTTATTATATAGGAACTCAGCATAATATTTTCTATTTGGGGAATGGGTTAAAGTTACCAGGAATGCCCCTGAATGACTCTAAATGACATTTGGGATCTTTTGTCTACAGTTTGTAGAAATTGTCACTGGATGGCATTTAAAATCCTCAAAGCTGTTTTTAGCTCAATGGATTCATATAATTAAAAAAAAAAAACACAGTCTTTAGGATTTGAACTCAAATCTTAATCCCCATAGCTACTACCTATGTGAAATTGGGAATAGCATTTTACCCCTGGGCAACAATTTCTTCATCTGAGAAATATAGTAAATGCCCATTCCAGAGGGCTGTTGAAAGGCTGAATGGTATCAGGCCTATAAAATATGCTGCATGTGCCTGGAAGGATGTTAAGTGCCATGTGAGTTATTTTCCCTGCCTCTTTCTTAGCATTAACATAGAAACTAGAGATTAGTAGTACTGGAGCCAAGTTTTATCCAAAATCATGTGGCTCTGTTATTTTAAATCAAAAGACAAATAAGAAAACAGGACACTTTGTGTCCCTAGCTTTGAATCTGATTATTTTGTATATTCCAAAAAACACCTAGACCCCTGGATTTTTCCACAGCAGCTCTACTTAACTATCAGTGAAAAACGCTGGGACATCCCACCACCAACAACAGCACCCCTTATGAGATTATCCATTGTTTTAAAAGCCCAGCTTTCCTTCTTTTGAAAGGTACTCCCTTGGGGGAGCTATCCTGGTCTAACAAGGTATTTGTAATGGATGCAAATACATAGTCAGGCATCTGCTGGCCACAGCTGAGCTCTTCAGTGAAGAGTCCAGAAGTTCCATGTAAAAAGGATTTAAGAAGTACATCTTGTCGGAATTGTCTTGGAGAAGGTAGAGGCAGAGGTAGGACATATTCCTTTAAGCTGTGTTTGTAGAGCAAGCACACCATAATTTATGACAAAATGATCATTTAGAGAGGCTTTGTGGGAAATAGAAGTAGGGACCAAGAACTCCCAGCTCCCTATTACTTGGAGTCTACATTTGGAACACAGGTGGGAAATTGGGAGATAGGCTGGGTGCAGACTGGCCCTGACCTACCGCGTAAGGAGAGCCACTCAGGAGCATGAAATGGAGAAGAGAATTCCATAGCCTGGCATGCTGGCACACACCTGTGATCCCAGCTGTGTAGGAGGCTGAAGCACGAGAATTGCTTGAACCCGGGAGGCAGAGTTTGCAGTGAGCTGAGATCATGCCACTGCACTCCAGCCTGAGTGACCTGAGTGACAGAGTGAGACCCT
This sequence comes from Homo sapiens, assembly GCF_000001405.40. Lineage (NCBI taxonomy): Eukaryota > Metazoa > Chordata > Mammalia > Primates > Hominidae > Homo > Homo sapiens. The sequence goes on along the minus strand of NC_000005.10, from coordinate 84,038,016 downwards.
GTCTCAAAAAAAAAAAAAAAAAAAAAAACAAGAAAGAAAGAAAAGAAAAGAGAATCCCAGCACCTTTTGCTGTTTCTAAGCTCACTGCTCACATTAATGGACAACTTTTAATCCATCTGTCAGATCATACAAATCAACAAGAGGCAGAGAATGACAAATAATTTTTTTTAATTCATGGTGAAAGACTTTGTTTTAGAAAAGTCTATCCACTATTTGGTGATTGTTTTGTTTGTTCAGCCATGGAAGTTTACAGAAACATAACCATGGAATTACAGTGTTCTTCCCGTTATTCAACTCTTAGGGGAAAAAATGCAACAGGAAAATACAGCATTTAACAGTGTTTGCTTATAAATAACGTCATTAATTAAAATGCTAATAAGATTTAAATATGGAAAGTATAAAATCTCTTTAGGAAGTTTTATTCTTTGTTTTTTTAAAAAATATACTGAAATCTGTTTATATATCACATAAATATATTAACTTTCCAGGTGGTTTTTAAAAATGGGTCGAATAAATGCAAAACATATTAGAGAAATCTATTTTATTTTGTAGTATTTTCTTTATGATTTGAAAACAGTTTACCTACTTTTTTATGTCTCCAAAATAAAGTAGAAGCAATTTTCTAACCAAAGATGAGTAAATCAAACTTACTATTTTTTCTGCTGGTAAACAAAATGTGCATAGAACTACAAAGAAAATGGGGAGATCAGCAATAGCATTAAAGTTACCAATTAATGCTTTTTAGGACACAGCTTTATTTAGGAACTTTCAGGTCCAATCATAGTAGCTGAGTAGGGAGAAAGAAGGGAATATCCCAGCCCAAGATAATGAGTGAGTGTGGGTCACTTCATACCCATAGGGTGCATTTGTGCAAAAGTGCTCTTTCCTCTGGTGTATCAGTGATGCTGGGGCATACCTTGATGAGTGCAGCCCAGGATGCTTTTCAGTCAGTCTCATCCTCTCAGCTGGGTACCCTTATGCAAACAGAACCCATACAGCCTTGCAGCGCAGCCCTGAAGTTACCTCTTGTGAGGCCCTGGCAGTTGGGAAGTGGAGCACAGTAAATGCCTCCTGCTTCACATTTAGCTTGATCTGTTTTTGAATGAGATGGAGCTCACTCAGAGGAGCTGAGGAAAACAAAATCTTCTTGGCCAACCCTGTCACCTTCTCTGTCCAAAACATTGATCTTTTACTTGACAAGCAGAAAGTAAACATAGGAAAGAGAAAAATGCAGTTTAATACGAATACAGTGACTATTAAAACTCAGCAGCTCTAAATGAGAACAGTTCTCTCACAGAGCTAAGGTTTTACAATTTTGCAATTGTATTGTGCTAGAATCCCTCAAGTCCCTAGTGACTTGTTGAATCACCTCTATATCAATGCTCAATGCGGGACTTCTTAAAATTCCCACCTGCTTGAGGTTTGTTGGCAGAGGCGACAAGGTACTACTGGGCTTCAACAAAATGTCTTAAAATATGCTGTTTAGAAAGGTTTGACTTTGCTGTTTAGAAAGGTTCAACTTTGTCACTAACTTATTGTAAGCCCTCGGGCAAAAGATCTGTCTTTTCTGGAGCACAATTTTCTTATTTTCAAAGTGAAAAGGATGTCACACAAATGGAAACAAATATGACTGTCTTTCTTATTGATACTTGCCAGGAATCCAGAGAAGGAGAGTATGGTGTCTACAGTTGTGCATTAAGACCTTAAATCTTATTAAGATCTAATCTAGATACAGTGCAGAATAATCCTTCATAGTGAGAAGCACTGAATCTGCCCATACCTGCCCCAAGAACCGGACATGCCATGTTCCCTGTTGCCATCCCTAGAAGAGACAGGTCTCCTGGATGTTCAGCATCATTACACATCATCATTCAGGTTACTCAGGAGGGAATGGCACAAATAGTGGTCATTGGTTCTGATTTCAATGATTTTGTTACACTATCCTATGAGATTTTTAACCAAACTTGCACGTTTGCAATATAACTCAGTATCACTTACCACTCATGCAACAGATGTTTATCACATGAATTCTAGGACTAGATTCTGGTGTCCAGAAATGAAGACAGAAGAATAGTTTCCTGCCCTTAAAAAGTTTATAGCCAATAAACACAGAGCTATAAACAAGAAATAAAATTAAAATGTGTATACTGGTAAATTAGAAGACTTACTTAGAACATAAACCAGAGATCTGGTCTGAGAATTCAGAAAGATATACTGAGAAAGGATATTTGAGCAGAAACCTAAAATATGATCAGGACTTAGTTGTGTCTACAAGTAGGAATAGGAAGATTGAGTTAAAAAATAAGTTCCAGAAAGAACTTATGTGAAGTCCAAGAAGTAAAAGAAAGTATAATATGTTTGAGAAACTGAAAGAAGTTTAGTTTCTTACAATTTGATAGGAACTTTTGTTACATTAACCCACATACTCCGCATACCATTTTAAATAAAGTGATTGCATAATAGTAAAATGAAATGTAGAATATTAATACAATAGTTATACCAATGAGTGACCCCATTTCAAGAAATATTCACATAACTATTTACAATGGATTAAATGAATCTAATTTTAAGGGATCACCATTATTTTTAAAACTGTAACTGGTTTTATTGCTTAATCCACTAGCTAAAAAAGTTTAAAATACATTATTTAATATTAAAACTGAAAAGTTTGTGCAATAAGAATTGGAAAGAAGGGAAATGAAATTATGATCCTACCATGAGAAAACTGAATTAATCAGCAGGATCTTTGCTAAGATTTAGTCATTATAATGACATAAGGATGAACTTTGCTCCCTGGTACCGCTAAAGTTGCATCAAGTCTAGAATAAAAAGCTTTATTCATATATATATATACTCCAATGAATTATTTTTACTAGGACTAATACTAGTGAGAATTCTGATGTGGAATTCAGTTTAATCATTCCCAAAGTCGTATTAGCTTGAAAAACATTCTAAGTTTTTAATCTCAATTTTAAAAAAACATCAGTATGGTCTTACAGTCTATGACAAAAAATGTCCCAGAAAAATTTATTTAAGATAAATCATCATAAAATTTGTCTTCTAAAAGTCCAAATACTAGAAGAAATGTACTCACTTAGGCCTACAGGATTTATACCGTGAGACTCGATATCAGTGACATGGCCAGCCTGGCTTAGACTAGAGAAAACGTATCTCCCAGGGGTGAGGAGGTAAAATACCAAACTAGATCCAAATTACTGCAATTCAAATTTCTAGCTCTGCATTTTACTATCCTTATTAGCTGGATCTATGAATTCACCATCCCAGGACTCCTCATCTTAAAAAATGGAGCCAACATTACCTCAAGGGATTATTGTAGAACTGAAATAAGATGGCATCTATGAAAGGTGTAACCATACTGCTAGGCTCATAACCAATGAATGAACACCCTCCCTTGTCTTTTTCCCCACTTGGATATGGTAGGTAAAATTATAGCAAGGGCCATTCTAAGATGGGTCGAAGACAGATTTGTTTTTTGCAGTGTCTACTATGTAGAGTTGACTGTGATATAGTGATTATTTTCATGACTACACTGAAGGAAGCCTAGCCTACTGTTGCATAAAGTTTCCATTATTCTAGAATAACCTCATCACTAATTCCCACCTAAAATGTGGACAAAATAAAAAAAAATCACACACAGCATATCCTTCAGTCTTTGAGAAAAATCAAAGCTTAGTTTAATTTTTTAAATAAAAACTGTGGAATGAGAAAGGAGTGGCATTCTTTTCTCAATGAAATGATTGCATCTAATTTTGTTGTGTGCATCTGTGTTTGTGTTTAATGGCAAGTGTAATTATGCACCTGCAATGTGTGGCTCTTCTAATTTTAGTAAAATTGATGCAACTATTTAGGAAATACATGACAAATTACTCTTTTAAAATGAGTAAATTTGAATGCCAAAGCCTTTTTATCTACCAAAATTTTGGTCTTCTAATTACATGCAGTAGCTACACACAGATATTATGTCCACCAGTTCAATCTGGAGTTTTTCCTGTGAGCTCAGAATCTTGCCCTGCTTTGTCCTGGATTGATCACAGCCACTGGCCAGCTAGTGCCCCCTATTCCCTCCCTGAAGAGTTTCCTATCTTTGTTGTCTAACTGTCATATTAAAGTGTAACGTCACATACAACTCAGAGTCCAGATCACTAACTTAATATATCCCACAGAGTGTAACTATCAGGTGATAGCTGGCAGCTCACAGAGAAGTGTGCCAGAACTCCAGAAACACACCAGATTCTTTGAATTTCTTTTCCAAATCTTTTCTTTTTTCCATTTTTTTTTTTTTTTTTTTTTTAGAGACAATGTCTGGCTCTGTCGCCCAGGTTGGAGTACAATGGCAGGATCTTGGCTCACTGCAACCTCCGCCTCCTGGGTCCAGACCATCCTCCCACCTCAACCTCACAAGTAGCTGGGACTACAGGCGTGTGCCACCACACCCAGCTAATTTTATTGTTCTTTTAGGTAGAGACGGGGTTTTGTCATGCTGGTCTTGAACTCCTGAGCTCAAGCAATCTGCCTGCCTTGGCCTCCCAAAATGCTGGGATTACAGGCATGAGCCACTATGCCTGGCCTAGTATTTTAATATCTTTGAATTCTATGTGTCTTGTAGATTGTCTAGAACAATTTTGAAGTTACGTTAGAAAAAAAATTTAAGTATGGCAAAGATGAAGAAAATAAATTACTAATCCTCAGTGGTCAAGTGATTTGATTTCTCATGTGTAAAGTTATTTTCTTGATCAGGAAATAATCAAGTTGAAATTAATGACCAAACTAGCAAGAGGCAGAGCCATGCAACATGGAAGTAGTAGAGAAAGCATAGGAGTTAGGAGTTGTCATCTCCAGAGAAGCATCCTACACTGGAATAGTGGATCAGAGAAGCAAATTATGTAAAGCAGAGAGTCTGAAGGACAACTTGGAAATTCCTTGATGGGTATACCTGTTGGGCTGACAGCCAGAAGACTTGAAAATACGGCCTTTGAAACCAACAGAGGGGCCATTCAAACGTGAGGACCCTGAAGCTCTACCATGCCTTGGTGAGCATGCCCAAGGCCAAACTTCTTGGAAGTCCCTGAGCACTGTTGGATGTTACATTTGCACATCTTCTCAACCACTCTCTGGTCATATAGAGCATATTTCAAAATATTTTATTTTTGATGGGAGAAACATAACAGCATATTGGCAAATATTGCCAAATATTGGTAGCAAATGATATCATGTATAATTCTGAAAGTGTAAGGCATACTTTAAAAAGTCCCATTAGTAATCACCATATCACAAAGTAGCAGTGGCCAAAGGTCATGTTAATATTATTTTTTCTGTTTCTTCAGATTTTCCTGGATGTTTCAGAACAGTGCTTGAAAATGAAAGCTTTTCTTCCAAACTATTATTGGCATTAACAAAATTTTGCTATGTCTACATAAGCTGTGTGACTCATAAATTAAGGCAAATATTTAAAAACCCTGACAGGAAACTTAGTTTATTTAAAAAAAAAGAATGTGATGATTCAAATTCATCTTATATTTGCTCTGTATGCCAGTTCACTAATTTAAGATCTAATTTTCCTATTTCACCTATTGGAACCTATTTTTCATGCAGAACTCTCAAGTAACTCAGAAATACCAGTTGTCAAATAAGATTTAATAGTTCTATTTTATGAATAGTTTTAATTTTAAAATGAGCACTAACATTAAACTTAGTATGTGGTTTTATGATTTAGCTGTTTGGATTTTTAAGGAAATGCCACATATGTTTTAAAGACCAAGCAAGTTTTAAAGGTTATGCCAGTGGATTACAAGAATTGCCATTCTAATTATGTTCAATATGGAAGAGAATGTTAATTGATCTTACTGGAGTGATCCTCTTAAAGGTTTTGGGTTTAATTAAACAGAGTTGTGTTTAATTCATTTCAGATAAAACTTTATTTTTAATTAAATGGGGAATGGCATTTAGCTATCTTACCTGAATTCTTTTCTGAGAAACTCTTCCATAAGAAAATGAAAACACTGATTTTGTCCTGTCTCGAGAACAAGTATGCTTTTCAAATACTACTTTTGTGCTTCTCTTCATTATGGCTCATGGAGCCTTCAACGAGATTCTGTGGTAACATATCCAGCATATTGGAAATTACACTGAAATCCCTCTGTATTATTTCAAGTTATTAAAAAAGCTTTTGTGTCATTTTTAGTTAGAGCTTGTCTGGTGTCTTTGTCAGTTTGGGCTGCTATAACAAAAATACTACAGACTGGGTGACTTAAAAAAAGGAAATTTACTTTTCACTCTTCTAGATCCTGGAAAACCTGAGATCAGAGTGCCAGCATGGTAGGGTTCTGGTGAGGACACTCTTCGTGGTTCCTAGATGACCATCTTCTTGATGTGTCCTCACATGGTAGACAGCAGAGAAAGAGGAACCTCTCGTGTCTCTTCTTGCATGGATACCAGTTCCATTCATGAAGACTCCACATTCATGACCGAATTACCTTCCAAAGAAAACTAAGCATTTAGTCCTTAACATCTGGTGATAAGTGTTGCATGGGTAGATTTACCAACTAAGTCACAGCCACAAAAATGTATCCAAAATTTGTCTGAAAATACAATTTTCTAAAGTAAAAAATTATTATCCATCTTTTTGAATTTAGCAAAATTTCTTAATGCCAAAACATCCAGTCAAAGCTTGAAAAATATGTCAAACAATTACTTATTTCATATTTTAAAAAATCAGCTTAGTGTATTACTATTTGTTACTGTTATGGGCTGAATTGTGTCGCCCCAAAATTTATATATTTAAGTCCTAACCCCAACTATCTCAGAATGTGATTATATTTGGAGATAGCATCTTTAAATAGGTAATTGGGGTAAAATGATGTCATAAGGTTAAGCCCAAGTCTAATATGACCAGTGTCCTTAAAAGAAGAGGAGATTAGGACACAGACACCCACACAGGAAAGACCATGTGAAGACATGGAGAGAAGATGGCCATTCACAAGCCAGTAACAGGCCTGAAAAGAAACCAACCTTGGCAACACCTTGATCTTGGACTACCAGCCTCCATCCAGCACTGTGAGAAAAAAAAATGTTGTTTTTTTAAGCCAAGGAGTTGGTGGCACTTTGTTATGGCAGCCCTAGCACACTAGTACAATGACTGACTCTAGTCAAGCATACAGAAGTGTACTGAAGCCAGAAGACGTGGGAGAATCTGAAAACGGTCAAGGTTGTGTGAGAAGTTGAGAGGAAGGCAGTCAGGAGGTGTAGGCTAACACCACTCACTAGGCTGTGATTGCTTCCCAGCCCTTAGGTCCCCTGTGAGTCTGCTATTATAGAATTCAGAATTGATACTAGGATACCAATTCTGAAAATGTATAGCATTGCAGCATAATCTGTCAGTTACTTTAAGATACACATTTAAATTAGTATGTTTGAAATTCTTCTATATTATGACAGTATAAATACAGCCCTAGGAATAAACAGAAATTCAGTATACATGTTCTTGTGCGATTTTTTCATATCCCAACTGTATCTTGGAAAATTGCTTTGCTTAGTAGACAAGACATTTTTAGAATAACTCCTGATGCATTTACTCCTTAAGGAACACCATTTAACCTCATGTTTAACGTTTGTGAAGTAAAGGTTACAAGGTTGAACATGAAAAAAATGTAGATCAATGCTTTGATCTTTCTGAGAAACGTAATTAATTTTTAAAGAACTTATGTTTTAGATACACAAAGATATGTGTAATTATAAAGTGTGCTACATAGGAGATTTAAAAACCACTTCTGAACTAAAAGTGCACAAATAAACACAAAAGAAAAACAAAAGTATCTTTGTACCATAACTAGTGTTGCACTGCATTTATCTTTTTGTCTGAAAATTACATCATTGTTTTAGAAAGGGACTTTTAGGTCATTCAAATCCGAGTAAGTCCTGATGTTTGGAGTCATTTAAGCATGACCTTTAGAGATATATGATCATCGAGCCTGTACCCAGATAATTTCAATCAGATAACTCCATTCATTGCTGGATTATTCTAATTATTAGATTTATCTTCCTTAAACAAAGTTTTTCTGAGTTTCTTGCCACTTTCTTGTACTTGCATTTGAAATAGAATATGGTATCATTAGCAAACTTATTTATCTTTCCCTGGGTGCAATTTTTTAAATAGATCTTTTAAAGTGTTGTCTCCAGAATTGTATACAATGCTCCATAAATGTTCTAATCATTTTGAGTAGAGTGCCCTGTGAGGATGTCCCTGCCTCTGACTTGTAGATACAGACTTTAATTAATGCAGCCTGCCATAATAGAAGTTTTTCTTGCTGTTATTTCAGTATTATCCGCTTAATCTTAACCCTTTTGAGGGTTAAATTTCTCAAAGTGAACGTATAACTTAGCCTTATGAAAGTTTAATACTCCCTTTGATAAAAGCATTGAGGGAATTTTCATTTTTATGCTTTTATTTCTATTATTTTTCATGAAAGGTAAATATGTATATATCTACACTTAGGACTTCAATATGGATGGATTGTATTAGTTCTTTTTCACACTGCTGATAAAGACATACTCAAGACTGAGCAATTTACAAAATAAAGAGGTTTAATGGACTTAGAGTTCCACATGGCTGGGGAGGCCTCACAATCGTTGCGGAAGGCAAGGAGGAGCAAGTCATGTTTTACATGGATGGCAGCAGGCAAAGAGAGAGAACTTGTGCAGAGGAACTCCTCTTTATTTGTTTTGTTTTGTTTTGTTTTGTTTGTGAGATGGAGTATCCCTCTGTCCCCCAGGCTGGAGTGCAGTGGCGCAATTGGCTCACTGCAAACTCCACCTCCCAGGTTCATGCCATTCTCTTGCTTCAGCCTCCAGAGTAGCTGGGACTACAGGCACCTGCCACCACACCTGGCTAATTTTTTGTATTTTTAGTAGAGATGGGGTTTCACCATGTTAGCCAGGATGGTCTCGATCTCCTGACCTCGTGATCCACCTGCCTCAGCCTCCCAAAGTGCTGGGATTACAGGCATGAGCCACCACATCCAGCTGGAACTCCTCTTCTTGTGAGATTTATTCACTGTCATGAGAACAACATGGGAAAGACTTGCCCCCATGATTCAATTACCTCCCACCAGGTCCCTCCCACAACACGTGGGAATTCAAGATGAAATTTGGGTGGGGACACAGCCAAACCATATCATGAATCTTATTCAAGTTTGAGATTGTACAAAGCAATATTATATATACTAGTATATCTATGTATATATATATATTTAAGACTCCGTGTTTACATGAATATATACATGTGTGTGACTGTATATTTTACACACATATACATACATATATGTGTTTGTATGTTTAGATTATCAGAAAACTTTGGACTTTTTTTGAAGTTTAAACATTTTCTAATAAAGTATCCATTGATTATGTCACGTGTGTGTGTGTCTGTGTGTATGTGTGTATAATTTCACTTAATTTTCAGAATAGTCTTAGATAAAGTAAATTTTTTGAAACTGAGGGTCAGATAAAGAGCTTGCTCAAGGCCATATGACTAACGTATGGTAGAATCAAGACTTAAGTTTACATGTCTGATTCTAAATCATATTGCCTTTTCAATAATAACTCACTACGTTTCCTGAAAGCAAGATTTAGGAACCATTGGAAGATTTTAAGTCAAAGGGTGACATGGTTAGATTTGCAATCCAGAATGATTAATCTGGCTACTATGTGAAGAATGGACTTGGAGGATGGAGACACTAGACAGGAAGACCAGTTAGGAAAATACTATAAAGGCAGACGGGAAATAATAAGCCCCTGAGTAAAGCAAGGAAAGTAGGAATAGGCAGGAAAAAAATGGGGGAGGGAATTACATGATAAAATTGATAGTCCTGCATGGATAGTAGTGTATGAGGCCGATTATTACATTTCACAATGCAGTCACCAAAAAAAGAAATCTTAATTTAGGAAAAAACGTGGAGGATTATTCTTGGGACACTGGAGTTCATATAAAATATGGTAGTAGAAATGCCCAGGAGTCAGTCTTAAGTGAATTCAGTGTTGTCCACAGTTCAGGAAAGAGTAGACAAATACTTTGAGGAAAGGTTAAATTCCTCAGAGACAACATACAGCATGGAAACAAGAGGCCCAAGGGTCAGGGGCACCAATATTACAAAGTGTCTTCAGGATCCACCCTTTTTATTTCACTTCAGATTTTCTTTTTTGAGTTCAGACTCATATTGCCTCTGCAATATCATTTATACTAATTACACTATCAGTTTTTTACCACTTCCCTCTCTCATCCCACTCCCTGCTGTCTATCCTGTATAATAAGCACTTCGCTACCAGATCAATTATCTCACTGATCAGCATGCTCAGATTCCCCTTCAAAGTGTCCCTATTTTCCCAAATTTACATTTCAAGGCTATCTCATAAGAATTTTACACTTAATAAAATAAAATAAAATAAAATAAAATAAAAATGGATGGTGTCCCATAAAAAGCACTAGACATTTCCATCTCCATCTTTGAACTATGCTATACCTTCCAGAAGGGATGCCAACTAGTACATGAAAACTATCTAGAAACACAGATAGGACCAAGCTTCCCTTCTCTGAATTCTTACAGCATATGTTTGAAGACTGCTGTGTTTGTAATCTCTCTCTGCAACTCAAATGTTTTGAACACTTGTGATGCACCACAGATTCTTACAGGGGGATAAACATGAATGAGATATAGATTACCCTTTTGGGGCTTATACTTCAGTAGTATTTTAACTTGTAGACACTCTTATAGTAAGCGACACATGCTGTTCTCCATGGTAATGTCTTTATATTGTATATAACATAGCTAATGTAATCTAGCTTGAGCTCAAAGGACACCAGAGCTAAAGCAAGATATGTCCCTTTATATTTACTTATTTCTTTGTTTATTGAGACAGGGTCTCAGCCCACCACCCAGGCTGGAGTGCAGTGGCACCACCACAACTTACTGTAGGTTCTGCCTCTTGGGCTCAGGTGATCCTCCCACCTCAGCCTCCCAAGCAGCTCAGAGTACAGGCGCATGTCACCATACCTGGCTAATTTTTTGTATTTTTTATTTTTTTAAGTAGAGACGGGTTTTGCCATGTTGCCAGGCTGGTCTCAAACTCCTGGGCTCAAGTGATCAGCCTGCCTTGGTTTCCCAAAGTGCTGGACAAGATACATTCTTACATGAGACATTTTGAGCCTAATGAAGATAAGGCGTGGTTTTTCTGTTTAAGAACTTAGTAGATGATGTATCAAAATAGTTGCAGCTATTTAAATGATTTGAAGCAGATTTTATTTAGTTCACGGTGAAAATTACAGTTGGAAATAATCAAGTGAAAATAAGATTGGCTTTGACTAAATCCAGAGATAGCAAAATTTTGTACTGACTGAATATTAAAAGAATAATCAAATATTTTGAAAAAAGTTAGACCTAATAAATTTAATCCAAGAAAATTGAACTTGGTAGAAATGCCCACAAGAAAAATGCAGAGGCAGAAGGTTAAATAGTAAAACTCCATGAAAAAAAATGATGACTGAACTGAATCTCTGTTGTAAAATTGAAACATGGAATAAATAATTTTATGAAGATAAAAAAGAAAGATGGAAACAAATATTCTCTGAAAAGGAAATTGATTAAATAATTAAATTGGCTCAGTGCTATTTGCTTCAGAAAATGCTCTTTTCATAAAGCATCAATGTTAGCATAATTCTAATGAAATAGTGAGATTTAAAATATCTGTGGGATCAAAACAGAAATCTTATATTCTCCAACAGTGGTGTCCTACAAAAGTCAGTGTGCATATGAATTACCTGGACATCTTGTTAAAATGCAGATTCTGAGTCAGTACATCCTTTAGTGAGATCATCTTGGATATTCCTGGAGTGAGAAAGAAATCCATATATTCTGCATTTCTAACCAGTCCCCAGGTCATGCCAGTGCTGCCCATCCAGAGACCACACGTTGAGTAGCAAGGTAACAGAATTTTTTTTATGAAACCAAATTTATGTCATATTTTTTCAGGCAAGAAACCCAAACCCAATGAGCCATTGTTCAGTCCCAATTAATTCCTTTAAGAAAATATGATTTGCCCATTTTTAGTGATGTGGCAAAGGCTGCAAGGAACACACTTTAAACTCACTGTGGCAAAGGCCCACTCTTGTGTGTACATGGTTTTAGAGTATCCCTAAAATAATATCCTATTACATATAATCATATTACATACAATCATGATGCCAAATATTTGCCTAATACATTATGCTGGCATAATTGCTTTCATATAATTTATCTTTGATTCTGTTGGCAAGTGCATGACTTCAGTAGCATGGGTGCATAGAGGTAGTACTAGAAGCAGAGCAGTGGACCCCAACCTTTTTGGTACCAGGGACCAATTTAGTGGAAGACAATTTTTCCACAGACTGGGTTGGGAATAGTTTCAGGATGATTCAAGTGCATTACATTTATTTTGCACTATATTTTTATTATTATTACATTGTAATATATAATGAAATAATTATACAACTCACCATAATATAGAGTCAGTGGGAGCCCTGAGCTTGTTTTCCTGCCACTAGACAGTTTTATCTGGGGGTGATGGGAGATAGTGACAGTCTGATGATCTGCTGATCTGACAGGAGGTGGAGCTCAGGCGGTAATGGGAGTGATGTGGAGTGGCTATAAATACAGATGAAGCTTCGCTCCCTTGCCTGACATTCACATCCTGCTGTTGCAACCCAAGTCCTAACAGGCCACTGACCAGTACTGGTTCATGGCCCAGGGGTTGGGGACCCCTGGACTAGAGGAAAATGCTGTAGAGAAAGAAGCTGATGTTTAGAGAGATTGAGTTGCTTAGCCGAGGTCACTGCAGCAAGTCAAGTCCTTCAAGGTAAACTCATTTCAAGGGATACATTTAAGGGTGGGGACATAATCCATTTCTTGCCAACAGGACACAAAAATATCTACTGGAGGGCTTCTGGGAAAGGTTTCCTTGCTAAAAGTTGGAGTTCCAAAGGAAAAAAAGGGAGAGAGAGAGAGATAGCTCTTCTTTAGGTAAATGTCATTTTGTTGAATACTAAAGGTTGAGCGTTGTCATGTTGGCTCTTAATGCCCCAAATTTTGTCAGTCATCTTGGAATATTGAAGGAAGCTACTTAGAGAGATAAAAGTCAATACTCAAAAGGTAATAGAGTGAAAAAAAAAATAGAAAGAAGTTGTGTTCTTAAGGGTGCTAATGGGCCCCTGAATTAAGCAACCCTAGAGCTACCGTATTTTGATATTTCATGTTGTGTGAAATACTAATTTTCACTAAATATTTGAACTATTATGGACTGAGGTTTTCTTCTACTTGGACCCCAAGTCAGAGATTCATGATAGAAACTCCTGGATTCTGATTCCTTGTCAGTGCCCTTTCTCCCTACTCCAGCTTTTACCACGCTGCCTGCCTTATACCATGTCACCCTTACTGTGGGGTCAATGACAACAGGACTAGGTTTTGCACTTACACATTTATACCCTGAAACAAACCTGGGGCAGGGCCCTATATATAATGGGTGCTCAGCAAATAGTAATTAAATGAATTAATAAATGATTGAAAACTTGATGTATTACTAGACAGAAGGAAAGAGCAAATGAGGCACTTGATGCTAAAGGAAGCTTATTAAAACATTTTTCTTGGTTGTTCTAAATGATGTTTGATTTTAAGATAGGCTATTAACAGTAATGTCAAAGTACCAGGTTGTATTTAAAAAGTGATTGAAATTTAATGAACAAAGAATATTTTCCAGAAAATAAATACAATAACTTGGAGAGCGATTTTCTATGAATGGTCTGCTTAGTCATAGCATGCTGCATCAGGCCAATTAAGAATGAAGTATACTTACAAATTTTGCATTGCCTCTGATAAGGTTTGCCTGGTATAAATACCAAAGCTAATCTGTGCTGAAATAATCTCTAAATCCTAGAAATTGAGTTACAGTCCATGGTTAATGGCTCAGAGTAAGTAAAATTTTAATGCACTACATATAAATGAAAACATTAAAATTAATTATTCAAATTTAATCTGCTTTTCAGCTTTACAGAAAGGTTTGAGTTTAAATTGTGCAGTGCTATTGTGTCATTTGAACTGTAATCTTGCAAGTGATTTAAATATGGAAATAATTTTATGGGTTTTTTCATTAATAATGAGATAATTTGTCATTTTACCCCATGTCAGTTAGTAAATGGGTCCACAGTATACAGTGCAGAGGAAAAGTCTAATAAGACTAATGGGAACCTTGATACCCAGTTGTTTCTTGAAAAGAACAAATCTCTTCAGCTTCAAATTTCAATGCAATCTGAGTAGCCAAATGCATTTTTTTCATTTACACTAAGCATGCTCTTACAGGGTGGGAGGGACAATACACAAGCAAATAGCCTATACTTAAACTTTTGTTCAGTTTTGAAATTGTTAAATTAGTAGAAACATATATGCTAAAATATTACTCAGTAGCTATACTCTTGCAAAAGACAAGTTGCTATAATACATTATAGGGTTTCGACTAAATTTGTGCTGTCCAATATCTATTTGTTCCTCGAAATATATAAAGTTAAATTAATTTAAAGATGTGTCAAAGGTAATTTGTGTACTACTCTGTACATTGTTTATGATGTATACATCATAAGTAATTCTTACAATTAAGTAGATCTTCAAATGCAAAGAATGCATTTGTCAGTCATCTCTTTTTTGTTTGCTTTTTGTTTATATTTTAAAATATTTAATTGAGAAGTAAAAATTGTATCTATTCAAGATATACCACACGATAATTCCATATATACATGTATTTTGTAATCATTATGATAATCCAGTTTAGTAACACATCCATCATCATCACTCGTGTTGTACGTTAGCTCCCCAGAACTTGTGTCAGACACTTCTTTAGACTCATTTTTAAATAAGTTATTATTTTTGTCTTTAGTTGTTTTCATTTATTGATACATAGTATTTTACATATTTATGGTGTACTTGTATTTGTTACAAGCATAGAATGAATAATAATGAAGTCATAGTTTTGAGTTGTCCATTACTTTGAGTGTTTATCATTTCTATGTGTTGGTAACAATTCAAGTTCTCTCTTCTAGCTATTTTGAAATATATAGTACATTGTTGCTAACTATAGTCACTGCTATTGAACTTTAGTATTTATTTCTTCTATATAACTGTATGTACTCATTTCCCAACCTCTCTTCATTTCTTTCTCCTAGCCTCACACCTTCCCAACCTCTAGTATCTATTATTCTATTACTATAGTATGTTGATGAGATAAAGTATTTTAGATGCCATATATGAGTGAGAACATGTGGCAATTTGTCTGTCTGTCTGTCTGTGCCTGGCTTATTTCACTTGACATCATGACCTCCAGTTCTATCCATGTTGCTGCAAATGACATGATTTCATTTGTATTATGATCAAATAGTATTCCATTAGTATTCCATTATGTATACTGAAATTGTTTATCAGTTCTAATAATTTTTTGGTAGAGTCTTTTAGTTTTCCTAAATATTAAATTTGTGTAGCTGTGGCTTAATCATATATGACCTTTACTATTTCAAGGTATGGTCTTTTAATGCCTAGTTTCTTGAGAGTTTTTATTATGAAAGGATATGAAATTTTATCAAATACTTTCTCTGCATCTATTGAGATTATCATATGGTTTTTGTCCATCTTTCTGTTTATGTGATGTATCATGTTGATTGATTCACACATCCTCATTATAAATCTTTGCATCCCTGGTATAAATCTCAATTGGTTATGGTGTATTGTATTTTTGTTGTGTTATTGAATATGTTTTGGTAGTATTTTCTTGAGGATTTTTGCATCTATATTCATCATGAATTTGGGCCTATAGTTTTCTTTTTTTATTGTGCCCTTGTTTGGTTTTGGTATCAGGATAATACTGGCCTCATAGAATGCCTCATAGAATTAGTTAGGAAGAATTTCCTCGTCTTCAATTATTTGGAATAACTTGGGGAGGATTGGTATTAGTTCTTCTTTATACATTTGGTAGAATTAGGCAATGATTTCATCTAATCCTGGGCTTTTTGTTGTTGGGAGACTTTTTATTACTGGTTCAATCTCACTATTCATTATTGGTCTGTGCAGGTTTTCTATTTCTTCTAAATTCAATCTTGGTAGGTTGTATGTTTTTAGGAATGTATCCATTTTCTTTAGGCCTTCGAGTTTGTTAGCATGTAGTTGTTACTAGTAGTCTCTGGTGATCTTTTGTATTTCTGTTTAGCTGACTTAGGCCAAATGGACCTAACAAACCTTTACAGAACATTTTAGCCAACAACTGCCAAATATACAACGTTCTCATCAGCGCATAGAACATTCTTGATAGACCATATGTTAGCCCACAAAACAAGTCTCAACAAATTTTTAAAAGTTGAAATTATATCAAGTATCTTCTCAAACTACAGTGGAATGAAACTAGAAATCAATACCAAGAGGAACTTTGGAAACTATATATACATGGAAACTAAACAGTATGCTCCTGAACAATCATTAGGTCAATGAAGAAATTAAGATGGAAATCAAAACATTTCTTGAAATAGTGAAAATGGAAACGTGTGAGATACGGCAAAAGCAATACTAAGAAGGAAGTATATATCAGTAAATGTTTACCTTAAAAAGTAGAAAGGTTTTAAATAAACAATCTAATGTTGTACCACAAATAACTAGAAAATCAAGAAATAACAAGCCCCAAATTAGCAGAAAGAAAGACATGATGAAGATAAAAGCAGAACTAAACAAAATGGAAATTGAAAAAAAAGGATCACAAAATGAAGAATTTTTTTGAAAAGATAACAGAATTGGTAAATCACTAACCAGACTAACCAAGAAAAGAAGAAAGAAGATCCAAATAAACAACATCAGAAATAAAAAAGGAGACATTACAACTGTCTTTAGTTTTAATGTATTTCTTTTCGATTGGACATTTTCTTTCTCTGACTGACTTTGAATTCTTTTTAAAAGTATGTGTAATTTTTTCTTGAATCTAACTAAAAGTAGAAACTCTCTCTCTGACTTACTTTTACTTCTTTTGAAAGATGCATATAACTTTTTTTCTTTATTCTACCTAAGAGTAGGAACTGTTGGTATATGTATGTGTATGTGAGATTCTTTAGTAAGTTACTTTTGTAGCCTTTTCAGTTAGGTAAGGAAATGTAAAGGAGAATTAAAAAGCATAACTATGCTAACTATGCTCTGAAGAGGAAAATGATTGATGTATATATTTATAACTTTTCCATTATGTATACTGTTCTTTTTGGGAGGAACAGCTTGCTATGTAGATAGATAAATCACTAAAATAGATCTCAATACCAAAGTGTGTATGTGTGTGTGTGTCGGCGGGAGGGGTGGCTATACCTAGGGTCAAAGTTACTTTAAAAAGAGGTGACCACTTTAATCTAGTAAAAATTATTCCCCTGAAAGTTAAAGAGATGCGAAGAAGAATTGATTATTAAGTAGTCAATAAAGGTGTTCCCTTGATTAGAAATCTGAATGTAACCCTCTCTGGACTCATCTCAACAGCTGCCATTTAGATTGCTAGATTGTAATAAGAAATGAGTTTGACCTGACATTTTCATCCTTAATTCAGACAACTATCTCTGGAGAAAAGGCCCATAAGAAAGCAATCTTCTTAATCCATATTTCCTTTGGGTGAATATAAATTTGAGCCCTTCCCAATTCATCCAAGCCTCCTAAATTATTAAAGTAATTAGTAGATGAATTCTAAGACTCAGATGAAGGGAGAATTTATTTAAAGCATCTAAGAAATGTTTTCGATATGTATCCCAGTACTTTATAAAGCATGCCTTTAGAATGCTGGAGGATTTGCATAAGATTAGAAAAGGAAAGTGTTTTGTTTGTTGCGTTTTTTTTTTTTTTTGTACAAAAGATAATCTACGTCTTAATGCACTGATATTCATTATTAATCTTTAGGAAAGGACCATTAATTGCAACGTTCCGCTAACTGATTTGGTAGGTGTTGAAGCTGTTTGGTGCCCTATCACTTTCCTAGGACCATTGCACTGTGGGGCGACAGTCCAGGACCTCTCAGGACAGTTTTACTGGGAAGATAGAACTAAATTAGAATGCAAGTTCCAGCAACTCAGGAGCTAAACCAAAGATTCAGCTAGAACCAGCGAGATTAGCTCATTTTGGGCTTTTTCAAATTTACCTAATTAGAAAACAGGTCTTGCCTATCAACTCTTCACAAGCAAATTATATCAAAGCCCAAGGACAATATGTTAAATAACCTGTGTCATTTCCCTCTTTTACATTTTTAAGAGAGGAATGAAGATCTTTGCAATGTGTATTATGAGCAGCCTCAGGCTGAAAGGTTGATCTTTGGGGCTTTTTGTTTTCTTTGTTTGGTTTGGGTTTCTGTGGTTGTTATTTTTATTTTATTTTTTTATTTTTATTATACTTTAAGTTTTAGGGTACATGTGCAGAACGTGCAGGTTTGTTACATATGTATACATGTGCCATGTTGGTGTGCTGCACCCATTAACTTGTCATTTAGCATTAGATATATCTCCTAATGCTATCCCTCCCCACTCCCCCCACCCCACAACAGTCCTGAGTGTGATGTTCCCCTTCCTGTGTCCATGTGTTCTCATTGTTCAATTCCCACCTATGAGTGAGAACATGTGGTGTTTGGTTTTTTGTCCTTGTGATAGTTTGCTGAGAATGATGGTTTCCAGCTTCATCCATGTCCCTACAAAGGATATGAATTCATCATTTTTTATGGCTGCATAGTATTCCATGGTGTATATGTGCCACATTTTCTTAATCCAGTCTATCATTGTTGGACATTTGGGTTGGTTCCAAGTCTTTGCTGTTCTGAATAGTGCCGCAATAAACATATGTG
Organism: Homo sapiens; assembly: GCF_000001405.40. Taxonomy (NCBI): domain Eukaryota; kingdom Metazoa; phylum Chordata; class Mammalia; order Primates; family Hominidae; genus Homo; species Homo sapiens. Next base: position 84,019,092 of record NC_000005.10, on the reverse strand, counting down.
TGCATGTGTCTTTATAGCAGCATGATTTATAATCCTTTGGGCATATACCCAGTAATGGGATGGCTGGGTCAAATGGTATTTCTAGTTCTAGATCCCTAAGGAATTGCCACACCGACTTCCACAGTGGTTGAACTAGTTTACAGTCCCACCAACAGTGTAAAAGTGTTCCTATTTCTCCACATCCTCTCCAGCACCTGTTGTTTCCTGACTTTTTAATGATCGCCATTCTAACTGGTGTGAGATGGTATCTTATTGTGGTTTTGATTTGCATTTCTCTGATGGCCAGTGATGATGAGCATTTTTTCATATGTTTTTTGGCTGCATTCTGTGGTTGTTATTGTTGCCCTTTGGGGATTTGGTGTTTCGTAATTCCAAAGTTAATTACTTGCTAACAGGAGTAGAGAAAGGCAGGCCTCATAAGATCTTATCAGTTACTTGAAAAGGGAAATATATGAGCTTTCCTAATTGATTGCTCCAACTGAAGACAGGGACCATCACAAGGAGGTAGAGGAGCCAGGTGCCGATGGCACTTTTTGACTCTTGATAGTAGAATAAGGTTGAGTGTGAGGGCAAATGTGAGAGCGAGGACAGCTATGGAGAGATTTATTAAACAATTTCTTCCTGTCCCTCTGGTCTATCAGTGTGTTAAACTGAAGAAATTAGAGGAATCAAAACACCTTCCCTGTCGTGAAAGGAGTGAATCTGTTCAGGGAAGCAAGAGTTAAATTATCAGGAAGGTTTCTTAACCGTCAGTTCTTCATTAATTTCCTCAAGGATTTGTATGTTGGCCCAATTAGGTGGTTACTATGCTGAGACAAAAGTTGCAGAGAAGTATCAGATGTAAGAGAATCACACCTAGATGTAGTCAGAATTTATATTTAGAAAGATGCAAAGCAAGGTAAGTTAATATATGCTTTTGATCAACTATGTACTTTAGACAACCATGCCACAAGAGTTCCCGGAACAAGAAGATGGTTACAGATTTGTGTAGCCAGACTTCAGAGCTGAGGAGGGATTTAGCTGGATGTGGAAGTGCAGAGCCAATATCTGCACATCTTTTCATACGATGGCGAAAGAAAGGTCATGTCCATGATGACTCACTGTGGAGTAAAACAAGCTTTCATTGGGAGAGTGTTATTTGTTCCTCTGGATTTATTAGGGAACCTTTCCTGGAAGTGACACAATTTATGATCAATATTAACAGAAGACAGAATAAGTAATCATTGAAAAGAAAACAACAGAATGAATTCACTTTGTAATTAGAGAAACTTTCCTGGAAGTGACACAATTTATGATCAGTATTAACAGATGACAGAATAAGTAATCATTGAAAAAGAAAACAACAGAATGAATTCACTTTGTAATATTTGTAATTCATGTCATATTGCCCAATGGGTGCGCATGCTGTAATTTTTCCAAAGTCATGTTTCATTATACATTTCCTGTCCAATCAGTGCAGATCCCACAGTTATTATACATTTATTTTTAAAATGTAGCTTTTAAAAACTGATAATGTGCACTGGTGTGCCAAATTTGTGTTTCTATTCTTACAGTTACAGTAAGTCATAAACTTTTCAGTGACTTTGGTCCTCACATAGTTTCACCAGAATAATTATATTTGCTCATGAAAGATACTTTTAAATTCATAAACAAAGTTCAGGTTATTGTGATCCTAGTGAAGTCACAGAGTGTTGGTTACATGTTTCACAAGTGAAACTGTCTTTAAAATGAATAAAAATAATAATCATTGACATTGTGGAACCTCTCTGTGTACCAAACTGAATAAAAGGAAAAGCTCGCCAGTAGCAAAGCCCTGCATAGCAGCCTGGCACATTGCCGGATAGAATAACACTACCCTATGTTTCTACAGCAATTTAGATTTTACAAAAAGATGTGTAAATCTTGACAATAGAACTAGGTTGAATGTGGGGGGAAATATGAGAGTGAGAACATCAACAGAAAGATTTATTAAGCACTTTCTGCATTGATCTTCATTAAAAACGTTATAAAACTTGTAGGACAGATATCTTCCTCACTTATTCTTGCCACTTTGTACACGAGGAAACTGAGACTCATGATGGCAAAAAGGACTAGCTCTAAGGTTACAGAGCTACCAAGTAGCACAGGAAAAATTTAAGTGTCTAGTCTCAGGCTTCCAGCCCTAGCAATCAGTGCACTTCAGATGTCATCCCACAGGGCCTGCCATCTGTGATCTCTTGTGTCTCTTTATACAAAGACTTTACACTCAATTAAGCCAGGCAGAGTAAGTATCCCTTATCCAAAACACTTGGAACCAGGAGTGTTTCATATTTTTATATTTTTCTGGATTTTGGAATGTTTACATATATATGTATTGAAATCCCTTGAGAATGAGGCCCAGGAGTAACCAGGGATGCATTTGTTTTATATACAGTTATGAACATAGCATGAAGATGATTTATACAATATTTTTTAATAGTTTTGTGCATTACACAAAGTTTTGACTGCATTTTAACTGTGACCCATCATGTGAGATCAGGTGTGGAATTTTCCACATCATATCAGCACTCAAAAAGTTGTTATTTTGGAGCATTTTGGATTTGGGATTATCAGATTAGGGATGCACAACCTGTATTGTGTTGAAAACTAGATGAATTACAGCATATACAAAACACAATAGGGAATATGAATTTAGAACATTAATTTTTGCAACACTGGGATCAAAATGACGCTTTAGAGGAAGAAAAGAAAGAAGTGAGATGAGTGTTATCAGAGCTAGGCAGTGTTTTGATATGCATGACGATAAACTAGATTTACTCAACTTTACTTTAAACATTCCCTTTTGGCAAGAAACCACATCACACGGCATTCAGAGGAAATTTGCTCTAAGAACTGTAACACACAATATAATAAAACAGATTTACAACATGACAAAGGTATAGAAGAAATGTAGTTCCCTAGAAAACCAAGTACCACATGTTCTCATTTATAAATGGAAGCTAAATGATGAGAACTCATGAACACAAAGAAGGAAACAGCAGACACTTGGGTCTACTTGAGGGTGGGTGGTGGGAGGAGGGAGAGGAGCAGAAAAGATAGCTGTTAGGTACTAGGCTGGAGACCGGGGTGATGAGAGGATCTGTACTACAGACCCCCATGCCAGTAAGTTGACCTGTGTAACAAACCTTCACATGCACCCCTGAACCTGAAATAAAAGTTTTTAAAATAAAGAAAAGAAAAGCTTTAATTCTAAGTGAAAACTCTAAGGGATATTGCCATAATTTTAACATTTACTTCTCAAGAGAGTTTCTGCTATTTAACTTCTTAAAGGCTTCTCAGCATGGTTTATTTTCAGAGAGAAGTTCCATGAGTTTTAGAGCTGATGAAAACCATTATTTTTCTCACTCTGTTTAAATAACGGACAGAGTTATTTAAACACACTCTTATATATATAACACACTCTTGTTATATCTCTTAATGTAAATTGATAGTATACATTTTTATCTTTCATCCCTGCTAAGTGATTTTCTTAATATAATACTGAGAGTTTTGTTGAGGAAATATGCACTTTTGTACAAAACTATCTTTCTTTTAATTTCTGTTTTAGGAATCAAATATTTTTATTTAATTGATACTAAGCTTTTATTTGCAATCTTTGAAAAATGATAAAGCAATGTCTAGCAAATAAACTTACAAATAAATTGCAGAATGAAATTATGAGTCTGGGCCTAAAATATTTGCCTGAGAACCAGAGCAGCATTTCATTTCTAACTCTGCCACCTACTGTGCAATAACCTTTCTCATTCTTCCTTTGAACTAGATGACTTTTATCATTTAATCAGTTCTAAGGTACCATTGTGTTATTGTGATATAGCTGCTCTTTTCTTAACTTAGATACTGTCCTTCAGAGCCCACATTGCATCACAGTGTTTTCCACTTCCCAGACAGCTATGTTTACAGAGCAGTCACTAGCTATACCCTGTTATGTCCCAAGTGGACCACATACTTAAATTACTCCTCAACCCATCTAAGTGTCCTGGAGTATTTGTGGGTTTATTCATCATAGAATAAGAGCAGTTTATTTTATCATCAACAGGAGAAGCAAGCCTACAAAATTGATCTATAGTAGAGAGATCACTGTGCACTCTGTCCAACCTTCTTTTGTTTCTATGTGCTAATATGATTATAGCCAAAATGCAGTTCGTATCAATTCATGCTATGGTTCAGTATTCCAGAGTTCTGTATCTGCTCTTCAGTTAGCCAGGACCCACTGCCAACTACCCTTTAAGATACAAAGAATTAATTTTCTTAGTCAGTTAGCTAGTTTTTCTTTTATTTTCTTTTTATACTGGGTTATTTGTTAAAGTGGTATTTTCATGTTTCATTTCATTTTATATCACATTAGAGTCTTTAATTTTTAGTTACAAATATGATCAAAGACTTTTTGTTTGTTTGTTTGTTTGTTTGTTTGAGACGGAGTCTCGCTCTGTCTCCAGGCTGGAGTGCAGTGGCATGATCTCGGCTGACTGCAACCTCTGCCTCTTGGGTTCAAGCGATTCTTCTGCCTCAGCCTCCCAAGTAGCTGGATCTACAGGCGCGTGTCATCATGCCTGGCTAATTTTTGTATTTTTAGTAGACACGGGGTTTCACCACATTGGCCTGGCTGGTCTCAAACTCCTGAGTTTGTAATCCGCCTGCCTTGGCCTCCCAAAATGCTGGGATTACAGGCCTGAGCCACCGCGCCCAGCAGATCAAAGACTTTTTAAAAGTGGCTTAACAGTCCTATACAACTGATACAACACTTCCATGCTACCAGAAGTTGAGTAGCTTACAAGTGTTTGAAGTTAATGACAATGATATAAATTTCTGTGACTATCAGTTCATTTCTCAAGCTAACCAAACAGCCAGAATCAGCGGTATGTGACTATTTTCATATTTATACAATGCCAGCTCCAAAATATAATGTATTGAAAAATCCTGTTAAGCATAGGAGAGTCAAGATTTATTTAAACTGAATAAAACATTAATATCATCCTACATAGGAGTAAGTTTATAGAACTGGTCCAATTGTTAGGGTACCAGATTTGAAGCTTGGAAAGTCAAACATGATATAAGTAGCTGATGACCAAATCTAAGGTGCACCATGTCCCATTAAAAATAAAACAAAAAAACTAGCTTTCAATTTATCTACAATTCAATCTATATGATATAATATAATTGGATGACCAACTTTTCAACCAAATTAATTTAAATGACTCCATATTTTGGTACTTTGTTAATTTAGCTTTAGCTTAAGGGTTATCCCCTGGAAGACAGGTTTGATATGCAAAATGTTTTGTGTTCTGAGAGGTATATTTGTATATCATACACCATTCAATGTGAGCTCGACATGTTCTTTAGACTTGAATAGGAACATCTACTTATGCATACCACCATCTTCTTTCTTCATTGCTATATCCCATTCTTTAGAGCCATGGTGAACACATAGCTGTCACTCAATAAATATGTAGCAAATAAACAATAGAATGAATGAATACATGAATGATGTGCATATCTCATATTCTCCGAAATGACTTCATTTAATATATTAACAAACATCACTCACAAAGGAGGAATCTGTGTGTTTGGCAGCAGAATATTCCTGAAGCCTTTTGATAAATATCAAATAGTTTCAGTCTTCATAATAAGATAATTATTTACAAAAACTAAATTCTAAATCTTTCTAGCTATAAATCACTCTTGCTCTAAACTACAAATGACATTTATTACATAGACCAAGTTAGCCTAATAAAATAGCACTTTTGTAAGGAACAATGTTTCTTATTGTTTTTAGATTGAAGAATTTAAAATTAATTTTTGAGTTGCCTTAATGTGTCCTATACATACATATATATGTACAGGATACGTTATATCATATATATATACACACATATGTATATGATTATTTAAAAATGGGAGATGCATTCTTTTAGCCTCTGTTCCTAGAAATAAAATAAGTGTAATAGGTGTAAAATCCTTGTTTGAAAGCTTAGAAAGTTTTTATTATTTAAAAATTATATGTCTGAAACAAAACATTTTAAATTATTTGAATCTGCCAGCGATATGTTTATTTAATTAGGAGGAAATTCTAGTAAGATTGGAAGTGCACATTTTATCTGAACACAATAAAATTTTCATATAAATGATAATATACCTAATAGATTTTATATATTCAGTTAGAGTCTTCTAAAGTGAAAGCTATTTGTAGAGTAATAAGTTTGGCTTCTTGAGTCAGGAAAAAAAGACTAAATCATTTCTGGAGGGATTTGGAATTTCTTTGATTCCTTTATCATCTCTTTCAATAGTTTAGTATAGATTATAATTAATAAATGTCTTAACCTATGGAGAATAGTAAATTGAGAACGTGTGTTTACAGTTAAAAATGGAATGTTTTTAATTCAATGAGAAAGTGCTCCACTATGCTCAAACTTTACTGAGTAATTTACTAAAATACAAAGTTTAACAAAGCTTAGATAGAGTAATATTAAGCAGGCATTTTTCCAAATGCTACTGGACCCTTTTTCTAATGTGAACATCAACATTTCCTGAAATGAAAAGAGTTTGTTTTATTAAATTGATATTTGTCATTTGAACTCAAACTGAGGTTAATTTCCTCACCCTAGGACTGTGTCCTGAATGATGATAGCCCTGAAGGAATTGATCAGTTGCAGTGACATGCATAATGCCAATATTTCCATATGAATTATTTTTGTCATTACAAAAGCTTTGAAAAATAGGTATTATCATTCCTATTTATAAATCAAACAAACAAACCAAAAACAGATTTAGAGAGGTAAGCAACTTTTCAAAAATCAAATGGTTAAATAGTTAAGGGCAAACTTACTGTTTCAGCCAGTCTAAGTTGAACTCTGTCTAACTCTGTATCACGTCTTCTTTTCACCATCTATCATGCTATTAGGACACCTCCCTGTTATGCTGTCCTCCTTCAAAATGTTCCTGTAAAGGTGGATGTAAATAGTAATAGTTTATTCAACAAACATTTATTGAGCACATTCCATGTAACAAGAATCATTCTAGTCACTGGAATTAGAGAAGACAGAAACAGACCAAATTCCTGCCTTTGTGGAATTTATAATCTAGTGGAGAAGGTGCCAGTCAACAAACCAGTGAAATTAATGATAATATCAAGTAGTGAAAAGTGCCATAAAGTAAATGCAAAATAAGGCAAAATCGATAGAGAGAGAGTATGTAAATGGGATTGCTGTTTTAGATAGAGTAGTCAGAGGGGCCACCTCTCTAAAGACTTGTTGAATATTGAATAAAGTGAGAAAGCAAGCCACACAATATAAGTTTTGGGGAGAAAGGCAAAAGTCAAGACCCTAAAGAAGGAATAAGCTTAGTGTATTAGAGAAAAAGAAGACCACTGTGACCAGAGCAGTGCGAGAAAGTCAGAGATGCTGTAGATGACATTGGAGAGGTATGCAGGACCCAGACCATTCTTAGCCACCTTTGATTTGTGTGTGATAAAAAGATATTTGAGACTTTGAGCAAGGAAGAAGTAACCTGAACTTGTTTGTAGTTTTAAAAGGTAATGTTGGCATATATGAAGAGAATTGACTGTAGGAAAGCAAGAGTAGAAACGGCAAGATCAGTTAGGGTCATCTAAGAAAATATTGCAATACTCAGGTGAAAAATAAGAAAGGATTTTGAACTTGGGTGATAGTAATGGAGATAAGAAGAAATGCACAGTCAGTATAAATTTTAAAGATGGACTTACATGATTTGGCAGAATGAATGTAGGCTTTGAGGGCCAGGAGAAATCAAGTATGATTTCAAGTTTTTTGGCCGATTGCTAAGATACAGAAGATTAGAGAAAGAGCAGGTCTAGGATCCTGTGGGTTTGCAGTGGACAGTGATGTAGCTACTAAAAATGTGTAAAGACACAGATAATGTGAAATGTCATTAACAGAGAAGGATATGGAAACAGAAGGCAATGTTATATAAAGCAATAGATAACACAGTATGCTATAGTCAGAGGTTTAGCTTTAAAAGTTCTCACTGGAGCATAGATGGTACCTTACACGCTGAGATGTGACATGGAGCCATTTTTATAAGGACTTGTTTCATCCCATTTTACATACAATCCCTGACTTTGTTCAGGATGCTCTTGATATATACTACCTGATCATTGGGGTGAATTTACTTTGTACTGGGTGAAGTCTAGGTCTGTTTTCCAGAAGCACTCTTCAGCTGTCCTAGGCTTCATGCCTATCTGAAATTCTCTCCTGTAGGGGAGAATGTGATTGAACATACGTGTGAACTGCCTGGTTGACATTCATTTACAAAACAGCCAGTGCTAGCAGATCCCAGATTTATTTAATTCACAAAGAACATGATAGAATTTGTAATTCAATTAGGGTGATTGTGTATATGAAAAAGGATAATTAGTTGAGATAATACCTAGGCTTTGTAAAATGGGAAGCACAAAACAGTATACAGTATTATGCACATTAAATAACACCTGTAAAACTGGACAGAAACATAATAGAAACTGTACCTTACATTTATAAAAACTACAACTAAATATTAAAAAATTGGAGGAAATAGAACCTGTACTGGAAAGATAATTTGGAAAAATAATAATTTTGGAAGAGAATAGAACAGAGTGAAATAAATAGAACAAAACTGGAGAAAATTAGCAGCCTTGCACAGTATGATAGGGAAGTACACAAGCAAAATGTTATAAAGAATCAGATTTTTTAAAAAGAATGAGATAAAATGAGTAAAATGGATCATGGTTATAAAGTTCTCAAATTATAGAGTAAAAATTTTATGTGAGGTAATTGTAAGAAAAGGTTACTTGATATAAACAATGCTCAGAAAGATAAGCTCTAGGAATAAGAAAGATGAAGAAACGAGAGATGTCAATGTGAAACATTAAACTCCAAACACAACCCCAAACACAAGCCTGAAATGTAAGTACTAATGAGTTCCTAGGAGGTGGTACTTTACTGTTGTAGGCACGAATGTTGGCATCTGCCACACTGTGCTTTGAGTCCGCTAGCTGTGTGACTTGCATAAGTTGCCTGACTTCACTTTGCTCAGTTTCAGCCTTTATGAAGTGAGGAAGTTACACCTGCTCTATCGAGTCATTACCAATGAAACATAAAGAACTTTTGCAGGCAACTTGCCTTAATTGGTGGTAGTGGTCTCCCATCTGGGACAGGGACAGGGATGTAGGGTGGAGGGAAAGAAGAATTGTGCGTAGTATATGATGACCATCTGCCTGGTCTGTGGAAAGTTCTTTCTTCCCACAACCAGCAATATTTCAAATGTCAGGTTTTGACCATGGTTTCCAGTCATGCTTAGAGACCTTCTGGTCTCGAGTCATCCATTTCTCCATTATAAAGGCTCAGTGTGATGTTTGTGTAGCAGCGACTCATGACAGGGCTCTTCACTCTTGACAGCTCTCGATATCATTAATGTCACAAGATCTTAATTCAAATGTTAGCTCATTAAATTAAACATTAATCTACCTGGAATTTTGTTTAATTGCCTGACAATAATGTTAGCACGTGTAGGTTTTTTTTCTATAGTTAATTATATCATAGATAGATGGTGACTTTAATATGTTAAACATATTTGTTATTCAAAACAAAGGCTTACTAAGTCCCAGGGAGTGAAAATACCATTTTGTCATATTGCAGGCTGGATTTTCCAAGTTTGGAAAGAATGTCAGGAGATCCCACCGGCTCCATCTGTTCTTGGCCCTATAGCAAAATGGTCATCAGGTTAATGATGATCACTTCCACAATTTCGCAGTTTTGATGTTTGCATAACATGCTACAAACTTAAACAGAAATAAACCTCATTAAGCAGGATTTTATAAAGAAAGTGGCTGTTTTTATTTTTTTTTATTTTGGGAAAATACTTTAAAATGAAACAAAACAACTTGGGCAGGCCCACCAAGTTTAGATTTCTGTATTTAAAAATTCCTGAAGTGGCCATGTGCGGTGGCTCACGCCTGTAATCCCAGCACTTTGGGAGGCTGAGGCAGGCAGATCACTGGAAACCAGGAGTTTAAGACCAGCTGGGCAACATAGTGAGACTCCCATCTTTACTAAAAATACAAAATTAGCCAGATGTGGTGGTGCATACCTGTAATCCCAGCTACTCGGGAGGCTGAGGCAGGAGAATTGCTTGAGCCTGGGAGGCGGAGGTTGCAGTGAGCTGAGATCCCATCACTGCATTCTAGCCTGGGTGACAGAGCGAGACCCTGTTTCCCCCCACAAACAAAACAAAACAAAACAAAACAAAAATCCTTAAGATATTCCCTCTCTCGTTCATTAGCAGTCAACTGATTATTATCCTCACTTATTTTTAACCTTCCTCCCACCTCCTACTCACTTTTTTATCCCATCATTTCTGTGAAACTGCTTTTAGCAAGGTCACATCAGCAATAAAGATTTTACATTATTAAAACATTACTTCTTCTTTAATAATATATCATTTTTCTCCTAACCCTCTGGCTAATCCTTTCTGGTATGTTTTTAGTGCTGTTTTTCCTCTGCCCATCAAAGGAGGGTGTTACCCAATATTCCATCTTATTTTTCCATTCAAATTGAATGCTCTCCCTGGGTGATGTAATCCACTCTGTTTCCCATCTAATATTTTTTTCATTTTTGTGGGTACATAGTAGGTGTGTATATGAGATATATGTGAGGTATTTTGATACAGGCATACAATGTTTAATAATCACCTAAGAGTAAATGGGGTATCCTTCACCTCAAGCATTTATCCTTTCTTGGTATTATGAACATTCCAATGATAATCTTTTAGTTATTTTTAAATGTACAATAAATTATTGTTGACTGTAGTCACCCTGTTGTGCTATCAAATACTAGATCTTATTTCTTCTTTCTAACCATATGTTTGTACCCATTAACCATCCTCACTTTACTCCTGCAACCCCTACTACCCTTTCCAGCCTCTGGTAACCCTCATTCTATTCTCTGTCTCCAGGAGTCCAATTGTTTTAGTTTTTAGCTCCCACAAATGAGTGAAAATATGTGAAGTTTGTCTTTCTGTGCCTAGCTTCTTTCATTTGACGTGATGTCCTCCAGTTTTATCCATGCTAATGCAAATGACAGGGTATCCATTTTTTATGGCTGAATGGTACTCCATTGTGGATATATACCACATTTTCTTTATCCATTTATCTGCTGATGGACACTTAGGTTGATTCCAAATCTTGGCTCTTGTGAATAATACTGCAATAAACCTGGGAGTAGGAATATCTTTTTGATATACTGAGATTCTTTATTTTTGGTATGTATACAAAAGCAGTAGGATTGCTGGATCATATGGTAGTTCTATTTTAGTTTTTTGAAGAATCTCCATACTGTTCTCCAAAGTGGCTGTACTAATTTACATTCCCACCAATAGTGTATGAGGGTTCCCTTTTCTCCACAACCTTGCCAGCATTTGCTACTGCTGGTCTTTTAGATAAAAGCCATTTTAACTGGAATGACATGATATCTAACTGTAGTTTTTATTTGCATTTCTGTAATGATCAATTAATGATATTGAGAACCTTTTTATATACCTGTTTGCCATTTGTATGTCTTCTTTTGAGAAATGTCATTCAGATTTCTGCCCATTTTCTGATCAGATTATTAGGTTTTTTTCCTACTGAGTTGTTTGAACTCCTTATGTATTCTGGTTATTAATCCCTTGTCAGATGGATAGTTTGCTATTTTTTTCCCCATTCTGTGGGTTGTCTCTTCACTTCGTTGATTGCTTCCTTTGCTGTACAGAAGCTTTTTAACTCAATGGGATCCAATTTGTCCACTTTTGCTTTGGTTACATGTACTTGTGGGGTATCACTCAAGAAATCTTTGCCCAGATCAATGCTTTCCCAATATTTGCTTTTAGTAGTTTCATAGTTTCAGATCTTAGATTTAAATCTTGTATCTTTGGATTTTATTTTTGTAGATGGCAAGAGATGGTGGTCTAGTCTTATTCTTCTGCATATGGATATCCAGTTTTCCAAGCATCATTTATTAAAAACACTCTTTTCTCCAATGTAGGTTCTTGGTGCCTTGTCAAAAATGAGTTTACTGTAGATGTATGGATTTATTTCTTAGTTCTCTATTCTATTCTATTGGTCTATATGTCTGTTTTTTGCCAGTACCATGATGTTGTGGTTACTGTGGTTCTGTAGTATAATTCTTTTTTTATATAAGTTTCTTTGCTTTAAATAAGCTTAAAAAAGACAGGAGAACAATTATATATTTAAAATTTTATAATGTTAAACGTTTTATTTCCCATGTGTGCTTCACTTTGTGGATTCAAGTAATTAACTGGAAACATTTTCCTTTTAACTTTTATTTTAGGTTCAGGTGTTACCTGTTTAGGTTTGTTCCATAGATAAATTGTGTGTCACAGGGGTTGGTGTACAGATTATTTCATCATCCAGGTAATGAGCATAGTACCTGTTAAGTACTTTTTTAAATCCTTGCCTTCCTTCCAACCTCTGCTCTCAAGTAGGCCCTGGTATCTATTGTTGCCTTTTTTGTGTCCATGTGTACTCAATGTTTAGCTTGCACTTACAAGTGGGAACATACAGTATTTGGTTTGTTACACAGTATGTTCCTGTGTTAGTTTGCATAGCATAATGGCCTCCAGCCCCAACCATATTGCTGCAAGGGACATGATTCTGTTATGTTTTGTTTTGTTTTGTTTTGTTTTGTTTTGTTTTGTTTTGTTTTATGGCTGCATAGTGTTCTAATTCTGTGAAGAATGTCATGGAAGTTTCATAGGAATAGCATTGAATCTTTCAGTTACTTTGTAGAGTACGGTCATTTTAACAATATTTATTCTTCCTATTCTTGAGCATGGAATGTTTTTTCATTGGTTTGTGACAATGTCTGACTTCCTTCAATAGTGTTTTGTAATTTTCAGTGTAGTGATCTTTCACCTCCCTTATTCCTAGATATTTTACTATTATTATTATTATTATTATTATTATTATTAATGCTATTGTGAGTGGAATTATATTCTTGATCTGACTTTCAGCTTGGACATTACTGGTGTGTAGAAATGCTACTGATATTTGTACATTGATTTTGTGTCCTGAAACATTGCTAAAGTTGTTTATCACATCTAGGAGCTAGTAAGCAGAGACTCTGGGAGTATTCTAGATATAAAATCATATCATCTGCGAGGAGAGATAGTTTAACTTCCTGTCTTCTTATTTGGATGCTTTTTTTCTTTCTCTTGCCTGATTGCTCTGGCTAGGACTTCCAATAATATGTTGAATTCAATAGGTGAGAGTGGGCATCCTTGTCTCATTCCAGTTCTCAAGGGTAATGCTTCCAGCTTTTGCCCATTCAGTATGATATTGGATATGGGTTTGTCATTTATCGTTCTTATTATTTGAGGTATGTCGCTTTGATGCCTAATTTGTTGTGGGTTTTAACAAGAAGGGATGCTGAATTTTATCAAACCCTTTTCTGCATCTATTGAGGTGATCATGTGGTTTTCACTTTTAGTTCTGTGTATGTGATGAAACACATTTATTGATATGTGTATGTTGAACCAACCTTGTATCCCAGGAATAAGACCTACTTGATTGTGAAGGATTCGCTTTTAAATGTGCTGCTAGAGTCAATTTGCTAGTATTTTGTTGAGGATTTTCACATCTATGTTCGTCAGGGATATTGACCTGAAGTTTTCTTTTTTTGTTGTGTCTCTGCCAGGTTTTGATATCAGAATGATACTGTCCTCATAGAATTAGATAGGAGTCCCTCCTTCTTGATTTTTTGGAATAATATCAGTGGGATTGGCAGTGGCTTTTCTTTATAAGTCTGGAAGAAATCAGCTGTTAATCCATCTGATCTTGGGCTTTTTGTTTTGTAGGTATTTTATTACTGATTCAATTTCAAAACTCATTATTGATCTGTTCAGGGTTTCAATTTCTTCCAGGTTTAATCTTGGGAGATTGAATGTATTTATCCATTCCTTCTAGGTTTTCTAGTTTGTGTGTATAGAAGTGTTCATAATAGTATATGAGGGTTCTTAGTATTTCTGCGGAATCAATTGTAATGGCATCGTTGTCATTTCTGATTGTGTTTATTTGGATCTTATCTCATTTTTTTTCCTTATTAGTCTAGCTAGCACTTTATCAATCTTATTTATTATTTTAAGCAACAAACTTTTGAATTTATTAGTCTTTTGTATGGTTTCTCTCATCTCTACTTAATTCAGTTGAGCACTGATTTTGGTTATCTCTTTTCTTCTGCTAGCTTTGGGGTTGGTTTGCTCTTGTTGTTCTAGTTCCTCTAGATGTGATGTTAGGTTGTTAATTTGAGAACATTCTCACTTTTTGATGTGGGCATTACTGCTCTAAACTTTCATCTTAACACTACCTTAGCTGTGTCCCAGAGATTCTGGTATGATTTTTATTGTTTTCATTAGTTTCAAATAATTACTTGATTTCTGTCTTTATTTTATTGTTTACCCAAATGTCATTCAGCAGCCAATTGTTTAATTTCCATGTAATTTTATGGTTTTAAGAGATATTCTTCATATTGATTTATTGTACTTCATATTGATTTTATTACACTTTGATCTGAGAGTATGTTTGGTATAATTTTGGATTTTTTTTTAATTTATTAAGAATTGCTTTATGGCCGAGTGTGTGGTTATTTTAGACTATGTGCCATGTGGAGATGAGAAGAATGTATGTTCTATTCTCTTTGGGTGGCATGTTCTACAGTTGTCTGTTAGGTCCATTTGGTCAAGTTTCAAGTTTAGGCCCCAAGTATCTTTGATAGTATTCTATGTCAATAATCTAATATCATCAGTGGGTTGTTGAAATTCTCACACTATTATTTTGTGGTTATTTAAGTCTCTTCGTAAGTCTCTAAGAACTTGTTTTACTAATTAAGATACTCCAGTGTTATGTGCCTGTATATTTAGGATAGTTATGTCTTCTTGTTGAATTGAACCATTTATCATTATATAGTGTACTTCTTTGTCCTTTTTGATTGTTGTTGGTTTAATGTCTGTTTTGTCTGAAATAAGAATAGCAACCCCTCTTCTTTTTTTTTTTTCTTTTTGCTTGATAGATCTTTCTCCATTCTTTTACCTTGAGTTTATGGTATCTCTCATTGCATGTGAGATGGATCTCTTGAAGACAGCGTACATTTGGGTCCTCGCCTTTATCCAACTTGCCATTCTGTGCCTTTGACATGGGACATTTAACCTGTTTAAATTTATGGGTAATACTGATATATGCAGGTTCAATCTTGTCATCATGTTGTTAGCTGATTGTTAGGTAGACTCGATCATGTAGTTGCTTTATAGTGTCAATGGTCTATGTACCTAAGTATATTTTGTAGTGGCCAATAGCAGTTTTTTGTTATCATATTTAGCACTCCCTTAAGTACTTCTTGTAATAGAGGTCTGGTGGTAATGATTTTCCTTAGCATTTGCAAAGGGGAGTAAAATCTGAAAAGGATTTTATTTCTCCATCACATGTGAAGCTTAGTTTGGCTAGATATGGAATTCTTGCTTAGAATTTGTTTTCTTTAAGGATTTGCAGCTTCTCTATATTTCCTCGCATTTGCAGCCATGCACTCTCTCAGTGCTCTGAGAGTGTGAGCTTCCCTCTCACTTGAGTTTTGGCCATAGACCTTAGCTTGGCACCCTGGGCTATATGCTGCCACCTTGGGGATAGCTCAGGCTTTTTGTTCCCTCCTCACTTTGTGGCAGCAGGGACAGGGCCCTTGGCAGTGGCAATGGCAGAGGCCTGCCACTTCCCTCTTGAAGTTACACCCCATGGAAATACAGAACCACTGCCAATCAAAATCATCAGCCAGGTGTGGAGTGGCTACACTACAGGCCTAAGCTAGGACCCTGCCTGTTGAAGAGCGGGGACCTGGGGGATTCACAGTGAAAACAGTCTGGCCTCCTTTCTATAGTGTGGCTGCGGTGTCCTGGAGGTGCAAATAAAACATTTGGGCTTTTTGTTTCTTCCCAAGCCTGGTGGCAGCCAAGATGGGTAGCACTACAACAGCAGTGGCAGAGGGGCTGTCAGTTGCCTCCAGGAACTCCACCCCAGAGAGACACAAAGCCTCTGTCAGTGGAAATGTTCAGCCACTGGTAGAGTGACTGTGCTGTGGGCCCAAACCAGGGGCCCTGCCTAGAGAAGAGCAGGGGTTGAAGGGTTCACAGGGAAGAGAAACTGGCCTTCTCTCCATAGAGAGTACCTTTGGCCTACTAGAGGTGCAAATAACCAATCAGGGTCTTTCTCTGGTTCACTGACCAAAGGCAGCAATGGCAAGTACCTCTGCAGTTGCAATGTCAGAGAGCCTGTTGGTTATCTCTGGGAATTCCATCCAGGATTTTATTTTCTTTGTAGCTATCATAAATGTGATTACTTTCTTGATTTCTTTTTCAGGTATTTCACTGTTGGCATATAGAAATGCAACTGATTTTTGTTTGTTGATTTTGCATCCTGCAACTTTACTGAATTTGTTTATAAGTTCTAATAGCTTTTTGGTGGAGTCTTTAGGGTTTTCCAAAAATAACATATCATTTGCAAACAAGGATAATTTGACTTCTTCCTTCCCATTTGGATGCTGTGTATTTCTTTGTTTTGGCTAGCTTCTCTAGCTAGGACTGCTAGTACTGTGTTGAATAACAGTGATAAAAGTGGGCATCCTTATCTTCTCCCAGATCTTAGAGAAAATACTTTCAGTTTTTTTTCCCATTTAGTGTGATACTAGTTGTGAGTGTGTCACGTATGGCTTTTATTATTATATGTTGAGGTATGTTCCTTCTATCCCCAGTTATTTGAGGGGTTTTATCATGAAGGGATGTTAAATTTTATAAAATACCTTTTTAGCATTAATTGAACTAATCATATGGTTTTTGTCCTTCAATCTGTTGATATGATGCATCACATTGTTTGATTTGTGTATGTTAAACCATCCTTGCATTCTTGGGAAAAATCCCACTTGGTCATTATGAATGATCTTTTTAAGGTGTTTTAATTCATTTTGCTAATATTTTTTGAAGATTTTTGTATCAGTTCACCAGAGATATTGGCTTATAGTTTTCTTTCTTTCTTTTTCTTTCTTTATATTTATTTATTTTTTTGATGTGTCTTTGGTTTTGGTGTCTGGGTAATACAGGCCTCATAGAATGAGTTTAGAAGTATTCCTTCCTCCTCTATTTTTCAGAATGATTTGAGTAGGATTAGTATTAGCTCTTCTTTAAATGTTTGGTAGAATCCAGCAGTGAAGCCATTAAGTCCCCTTTGATGGGAGATTTTTTTATTATGGCTTCAATCTATTCAGGTTTTGGATTTCTTCATGGTTCAATTTTAAGCATTACTATGTTTAATTCATTCCTTTCTAGGTTTTCCAATTTGCTGGCATATAGTTGATATTAATGGTCTCTAGTAATCCTTTGAATTTCTGCAGTGGCAGTTGTAATGTCTTCTTTTCCATTTCTGACTTTATTTATTTGGGTCTTGTCTCTTTTTTTTTGGCAGTGGGGGAGTAAGGCTAAAAGTTTGTAGATTTTATCTTTTGAAACACCAGCTTTTTGTTTCATTGATTTTTTTTTAAGTTTGGTTTATTTCTACTGTGATCTTTATCTTCTTCTACTAATTTTATGTTTGGTTTGCTCTTGGTTTTCTAGTTTTTTAGAAAGCATTTTTAGGTTGTTTATTTGAAGTTTTGGCCAGGTGCGGTGGCTCACAGCCACCCAGCATTTTGTGAGTCCCAGCGTTTTGTGAGTCCAAGGCAGGCAGATCACCTGAGGTCTGAAGTTTGAGACCAGCTGGGCCTACATGGTGAAACCTCATCTTTACTAAAAATACAAAAAAATTAGCCAGGTGTGGTGGCAGGCACCTGTAATCCCAGCTACTTAGGAGGCTGAGGCAGGAGAATTGCTTGAACCTGGGAGGCAGAGGTTGCAGTGAGCTGAGATGGTGCCACTGCACTCCAGCCTGGGCAACAGAGATTCTGTCTCAAAAATAAATAAATAAAAATAAAAATGTGGTTTTTCTGCTTTTTTGATGTAAGTGCTTATTGCTATAAACTTTCCTCTTAGTACCACTTCTGCTGTATCCCCTGTGTTTTGGTATGTTGTGTTTCCATTTTCTTTTGTTTCAAAAAATTTTTAAATTTTATTTTTAAATAAATAAAATTTATTTATTTATTTATTACTGGTCATTGAGGAGCATATTGTTTAATTTCCATGTGTTAGTATAATTTCCAAAGTACATCTTATTATTAATTTCTAGTTTTATTCCATTGTGCTTAGTGAAGATGTCTGAAATGATTTCAATTTGTTCAGTTTTTTAAGACTTGTTTTGTGGATTAACATATGGTCTATTCTGGAATACTGTCACCTTGGATTTTTCTGGTTATTTTGTGGATTTATCTTTTTTCCTTTCTTTCTTCCTCTTTTACATTTTGTGAGTGATTTTCTTTTTGTTGGTGGTATGTTTTTATTTCTTGCTCTTTTTTTTTGTAGGTGTTTTGATTTGAGATTACCAAGCAGCTTGCAAGTAACATCTTACAACCTATTATTTTTCAACAGATGACAATTTAACTTTGATTGCAAAAGCGAACAATCTAACAAACAAGTAAAGAGAAAACTAATAAAAACTCTACATTTTAACTTTATCCCCCGCTTTTTCACTTTTTGTTGTTTCGATTCATATTTTATTATGCTGTCTAAATCTTTAAAAGTGGTCATAGGTATTATTTTTGAGAGGTTTATTTTTTAGTTTTCCTACTCAAGATATAAGTAGTTTATACACTACAATTACAGTGTTATAATATTCTGTAGTTGCCTGTGTACTTACTATTACCAGTGAGTTTTGTACCTTCAGATGATTTCTTGTTGCTCATTAATATCATTTTTTTCTGGTTGAAGAACTACTTTTAACATTTATTGCAGGAGAGGTCTGGTATTGATAAAATCCCTCACTTTTTGTTTGCCTGGGAAAGTCTTTATTTCTCCTTCATGTTTGAAGGATATTCTTGCTGAATATAATATTCTAGAATAAAAGTTTTTTTTTTTTTCCTTTAGCACTTGAAATATGTCATGCTACTCTCTTCTGGCCTGTAAAGTTTCCACTGAAAAGTCTGCTGCCAGATGTTTTGGAGCTCCACTGTGTGTTGTTTCTTTTCACTTGCTGCTTTCAGGATCCTTTCTTTATCATTGACCTTTGGAATTTTGATTATTAAATGTCTTGAGATAGTTTTCTTTGGTTTCAATCTGTTTGGTGTTCTATAACCTTCATATACTTGGTTATTGATATCATTCTCTAGGTTTGGAAAGTTCTCTGCTATTATCCCTTTGAATAAACTTTCTACTCCTATCTCCTTTACTTTCTCTTTAAGGCCATCAACCCTTAGATTGGCCACTTTGAGGCTATTTTCTAGATCTTTTAAGTATATTTCATTATTTTTATTCTATTTTCTTTTGTCTCCCCTGACTGTGTATCTTCATAAAGCCTGTCTTCAAGTTCACTAATTTTTTCTTCTGCTTGATCAATTCTGCTGCTAAAAAACTCTGATGCATTCCATTGAATTTTGTAGCTTCAGAATTTCCGCTTGATATTTAAGAATTATTTCATTCTGTTTATTAACTTTATGTGATAAGATTCTGAATTCCTTCTTCATGTTATCTTGAATTTCATTGAGCTTCCCCAAAATAGCTATTTTGAATTTTCTGTCTGAAAGTTTGATTATCTCTGTCACTCCAGGTTTGGTCACTGGTGCCTTATTTATTTCAGTTGATGAGGTCATGTTTGTCTAGATAGCCTTAATGATGGTGGATGTTCATCGATTTCTGGGCATTGAAGACTTACGTAGTTATTCTAAACTTTGCAATCTGGGCTTGTTTGTATCTATCCTTCTTAGGAAGGTTTTCCAATTATTCAAAGAACATTAAGTGTTGTGATCTACATCTTTGGTCATTGCAGCCACATGTGCATTAGGGGGCATCTCAAGCCTAGTAACCCTGTGACTCTTGCAGACTTGTAGAGGTACCACCTTGATGGTCCTGGATGAGATCCAGGAGAATTCTATGGATTACCAGCAATCTCTTATTCTCTTCCCTTACTGTCTCCCAAACAAATGGAGTCACTGTCTGTGCTGAGCTGCCCAGAACTGGGGAAAAGATTATGCAAGCACTCCCATAACCACCACTGGGACAGTGCTGGGTCACACCTGAAGCTGGCACAGTACTCAGTGCCAGGTCTTGCCGAAGGCCTGTAGCAACTATTGCCTGGTACCACTGAGGTTTATTCAAGGACCAAGGGCTCTTTAGTCAGCAGATGGTGAATCCTGCCAAATGTGTGTCTTTCCCTTCATGGCAGCAGGTTGCCTTCTTGCCCCAGGGCTGGTTTAGAAATGCCATTTGGGAACTAGGGCCTGGAATTAGAGAAATTGGGAGTCTCTGATGCTTTATTTTACAGTGCCTGAGCAGGTATCCACATTGCAAGACAAAGTGCTTTTCACTCTTCTCTCTCCTTCCCTCAAGCAGGAGTCTCTCCCTATAGCCACCACAACTGGGAATGTGCTGGATCACACCAAAAGCCATCATGGTACTAGGTATCACCCAATGCCCATGGCAACTACTGCCTGTCTCCTGCTGATATTTATTCTAGACCTAAGGGTTCTTTAGTCAGCAGGTGATAAATCCTGCCAGAACTGCTTCTTTCCCTTCAACGTAGCGAGTTCCCTTCTGTTCCAGGTTGAGTCTTGAGATATCTGGGTGCTAGGGCCTGAAATGAGAGCATCAGGACTCTGCTCCATGATTTATTTTACTATGTCCAAGTTGCAAGACCAAGTCCTCTTTACTTTCCTGGAGCTTTGAGCTGCACTGCCTGGAGTTGGAGGAGGGGTGACACAAGCAGTCCCTTGGCTGCCCTAGCTAGTGTCTCACTGGGCCGTGTGTGCCCCATATCCACGGGCTCCCAGCCTAGCACAGCATCTAGACTTTTCCATAAATTAAAGTCCTTGTGGCCTAGACTGCTTTTCAAGTTTTTTTAGGATCCCAGAGTACTTTAGCTTGCAGTGTTGGGTCTAACAGGAACTCAGGTTCCTACTGCTGGATGGGCGATTTCCCTCTGGCTAGGGCTGGTCTAAATGCTTCCTCCATGGGCGCAGGCTGAGTTCTGCCTGGTGTTGCATTCCACTGTGACAGGGCAGTACTGAGTTCCAATGCACAGTCCCACAATCACTTCATTCTCCCTCCCCC
Organism: Homo sapiens; assembly: GCF_000001405.40. Taxonomy (NCBI): domain Eukaryota; kingdom Metazoa; phylum Chordata; class Mammalia; order Primates; family Hominidae; genus Homo; species Homo sapiens. Next base: position 83,997,822 of record NC_000005.10, on the reverse strand, counting down.
AGTTACTCTGATCACTCACCTGATTTTTGGTTCTTATGAAGGTGCTTTCTTGTATGGATAGTTGTTCAATTTGGTGTTCCTGCGGGAGGATGATCAATACAGGCTTCTATTTGGCCATCTTTCTCCACCTCTGACTATAATCCACTCTTAAGTCTTTGTTAACAACTCAGTGTGGACGACTTTCGTATTTATAGCTCTAGACTTATGTAGTAAACGGTTACTAGATATTACCATTTGGACATTCTACAGATATTTCAAACTCAACGTGTTCCACATGGCTTACCTTTTCTATCTAAATTCCATCTTTATTCTCAGGGATTGGTCACACCAACTACTTTCATGCCTAAACCAGAAATCTGGAGGTATCCTGAATTTCTCTTTTCACTGCCAAACCCTCTTAACCCTCTTTACTCAATTGCTCACCAAGTCTTCTCAAATTTTTAATGTTACTATTTCTTCAATTTGTGCATTTCTTTCCATCCTCATTGCCACTATCTAGTTTAGTTCATCATTTTCATTTCTTTAACTACTGCATGTTCTTCCTGCTATCAGATCTCCATTTAGCAGTTAATCTTACTAAAATACAAAATTGGTTCTATTAATCATTACCTTGTAGAAAGTCCAACTGCTTAATATAGCATTATCTGATTATCAACTTAATATTATCCAACTACTGCACATTTCCCCTACCTCATTTCCAGCCACCTTTCCCATTAAACCCTGTTCTTCTGCCATACCAACCAGTATATGCCTGCATTTCTCAGTACAGGACAAGTTTTTTTCTCCCTCTATCCCCTAGCCAGTATTGTTCCCTCTGCCTAGAAGGCTGTCTTCCTGCCTGTTCACTTGGCTATGTACCAGTTATCTTCCAGAACAGTGCTTCTCAAACTTAAATGTATGTATGAATTACCTAGAGATCTGGTTAAAATACACATTTATTCCAGTAGGCCTAGGCTGGGCATAATATTCTGTATTTATATCAGTTGCTCCTAGACAATGCTAATGCTTTTGGTCAGTACAGTAGGATGGTTCTAGAATTTATGTCACATATCACCTTTTCTAGGAAGACGTGTCTGACCTCCCAAGGTTGAATAGCTGCTTTTATTGCATCCTGTGGAATATTCCCCCACATCATAGCACTCATTACCTTGCATTGTTACTTCCTGTTTATTGGGATGTTACCTCTGACTAATGGACTGATGATATCATCACACAAAATGGTACCCAGAACCTAGCAAAAGCCCAGTAACTCATGCTGGTTCCTCTCCAGTATGTGCTATACCAACATTCCTCCATACTGTCACTGTTGCTATGTCTGCTTCTTGCTCAAAGAACAAATAAATCTTCACCTGGCAATGGTGGCTCTTAATTTGAGAATACAGGGTGAGTGCATTTTTTGGCACCATCAATGTCTCCTGCTGCATTGGCAGCCTTGTTCCTTCTGCTGCTCAGTATTCTTCCACATATTGGGATAAAGAGAGGGGTACTTTAACATCCTTTTAGTAAGAACAGATTCTTTCTGTTTGAATACCAAAGTGGAAAACATAACTATAATTATCCAGAAATATAGGCACCATGAAAATTCTACTCAACACTGTAATGAGTCTTTACTATTTAATTGCTTTGTGTCCAATATTATTATAAAGGTTTGCATTTGTTCAATGGCACTTACATAATGTATTGACTGCCATGCTTATAGGAACAACCACAGTTAATCAGAAACACCGTGCTCTCCTTTTCACCTAGATTATTCATCTCAAAATGTCTTCCGATTTACCAGGGATCATTAAATTTGACTACTGAAATGAAAGAAGCTTAAGATTACTCATAAACAGGTCAGGAAAAAATATGAAGATAGTGGCTATACTTTATGCTTCCTAATTGATCAATTACAGAAGCCAAGGTAAATTTAGAGTGCACATTGTCTTAGCTCATTATAGATAAAAAATATGTCTGTCAAGAATGTAATCAGATTCAGAGCCTTGCTTACTGGATAGGAGGAGGATTCAGCCTTCATGAAAGTTAAAGCATTTCTTTTCTCAGTTGGAAATTTTAAGCAGGAGAGGAATAGGCAGATGAATAAAACATGGTAATGGAATGTAATAAAGCAGAAATTGAGATATATCCACTAAGTAAGATCACAGATAGCATACAAATTCACTGACCATTAAAATGACTTGTCAGGAGAGATTATGATATTTTTAATCCCTAAAGTAATTATGTGATATGTCTGACCGAGTTTGAATTTTATTAAAAATTTTAAGAGTATATGAAAATGGATTAAAGTTTCAGCTTCCTAGATTCAATATTCATTTTTAGTATGCAACGACTCAGCAGTTTTAATGATTATTGCTGGATAATTCTACTCTATAGACTGATACAGAGATCACTTCTTCAATAGTTCATCAGTTGAATGCCCAGTACCATGTGGGGACATTACAGAAGTGACCCTCGTGGAATAAATGCCTTCGCTTAGTTCTTCAGCCTTCTCCTCCAAAATGTGTGTTTATGTACAAATGTGATGAATCTCCGCTAGGGTCCTGCAAACCCCCTGGTGTTAGGGGAGCTGAGAAGAGGGCTGGATGGTCTGTAGGGTATCATAGATTTCTAACATAATGAAGTGTTGTCTCTAGAATAAAATGTGTGTGTGTGTGTGTGTGTGTGTATGTGTGTGTGCGTGTGTATACTGCTTTCGGGAATTAAATAAAAATGTTTTTTCAAGTGTCACTGAATTCTTAAAACCTTAATTTGTCATTAAGTCTTTTACAAAAAACAGATAAGTAAAACTGCTGCTATAAAGGAAGGGAAAATACACAAAATTTATACACACTACACACATATGTATTTAATCATAATTGCTCTTACAATGGAAAAGAGCATTTTTCACATACTGTTTGTCTATTGAAATATATATGAGGAAGAAAGAAATAAAAAGGAGATAAGCTAAGAAGTTAGAATTTGCAGAATAAAAACCCTGGCACATAATGATATTTTCTAATTTATCTTAATTTTGATCAAGCAATTCCAATGGGAAACAAGTTTCCTTAAAAAACAAACTGAAGAATGTTTTTCTGTGCACATAATTTAGGTGGAAATACACCTAGTATATCCATGTTTTCTCTCCAGGCAAGAAGTAATTTGGAAAGAACTAAGCAATGTGGTGTTGGTAAACAGTGTTTCTCTCTGATAAAATGCCAGCCAAAAAGAGAATCTGTAACAATTACCAAACTATACATCTTACATCTTTTATTCAGATCTTTCTCTTGTTCAGCCATTATAGGAAAAACAGCTTATTAAATGAGTGATTTTAATGCAACTTATTTTTGTTGCCTGAGTTTAGAGAAAAAATAGATTTTTGAAAAAGCAATTTTTTTTTTTGCTAAATAAAAACCTTTACATAGTAGCCTAAATTGGTAGAATAATTGAAATGAAAAAAAAAAAAGCCTTGTGAAATTGTTCCCATTGGATTTCTGTAAGTTTGGTTTTAAATCCTCTTCCAAAAAGTAACTTGATAAAGTAATCAAAATCTCTTCTATTTAACTTAGTCTACTGAGGATAGAGGAATAACATATAGTAATTATTGAAACAGAGTATAGTTATCTGAAAGTACCTTATAAATTAAGTTTCATAACCCTAGCTTTATGGGAGGATCTTAGAACTGTTTGCATCATAAAGGAAGCGTAAAATGCCTATGTACACAAAAACAATGGAGAAATATAAACAATTGCAAGGTTTTCAATGACCGTTTAACATAACCATGTTGGAGCATACTACTAAGACATTCCCCTTAAGAGCACTGCACATAGTTGTGGAAAGCATTAGGGACCACAGTGGCCAAAAAATGAAGCAGGATAAGAAGGTGGGTGTAATATAAGCAACAGTAGAATTGGTAACATATTTTAAATTGGTTGTTTCCCAGTTATATTTCTCAGAGGCTTAGGATTGCCTTGGAAGACCTGGGTATACAGAGTGGGTGCTAGGGAGGGCAGAGAGGAAGACTCAACAAATGAATTTGGAACACACTCACTCCCTTATCAGTCAGTCTGAGTGGTCAGCTCTCACTATTTTACACATTTAAATTCCTTGGAAGATGATCTGTGTTTACAAAAACAGGCCATAACTAAAGCATTCTCAAATACCACCGGTTTAGAATTTAAGAAGGGTATCTTGTGGTAGGGAGACCAAGAGATTCAGTAGCTATTCTCTAAAATTCTATTCAATCTTTCCTTGATGTGATTAAAGGCTGTCATTTATAGAGCAAAGGTAAGGATGCAGATAGGGAATATGGTGCACCCCAAGGGCTTCTTATTTTAATGGAGAATGGAAGAAAATATGTGTGGTTTATAAATAAAATATCACTTTGTCAAATACTTTGATTTTTTAAGTCATGAGATTTATTTACATTTCTAAATAATATGAAGGGTGTACAATCTCTATATTCAACAAAGGGAGCATGCCTTTTATAAAGTCAAGAAATATTGCCTTGGCCAGGCACAGTGGCTTTTGTCTGTAATCCCAGCTACTCAGGAGGCTGAGGTAGGATGATCAACTGAGCCGAGGAGGTCGAGGGTGCAGTGAGCTGTGTTTGGGCAACTGTACACTATCCTGGATGACAGAGCAAGACCCTGTCTCAATAAATAAATAAAATAAAGAAATATTGCCTTACAATAATTAAGGTTTTGTTTAAAGTGCAGTTTATTACTAATTAGGCTCTTTTATTCCTTCCTTGCTGGAATTATTTATTCTAATGTTTCGTATTGACTATTTTAAGATTTTCTCTTATTTAGGTAAGTTGAATCTTCCTCAATAGCAACTTGTACTTCCGCAGGTACTTCAGCAGTATCTTGGATAGGCACTAAATCTGAACCAAAAATTTAAAACATTGTAGCTTCATATTACTTATCCAGAAGATAAAACTAAAGTCTTTAATTAATAAAAAGATTTAAAAATATTTTTAATATTTTTAAATAGAGTATATAAAAATAACTCTATGGCCATAACTCTCAGACTATAATACATTATAATAATATACTAGTTTACAATGATATTTCTATAACATTAAAATTAATAGATTTACATAAAATGTCTTTCATTACTTCGTGCTGTGATTAGTTTGAAATAGTGAAATATTGAAATATATGCAGATATCTCATTGTAAATATCTCAGTGTTTTCACTGATACGGTAACTTAAAGCTGGAATTGACTATGAACACAATTTTAATAATATGATAATAAGCATAATTTAAACCATTGGTGCTTGTAAAGATTTTGTTTCCAACTGTTTATTTGCTTGCCTTCTTCTCTTCCTCGCTGCTTTGTTAATTAGTATCTATACAGCAATATTTTGAACCATTCATTGACGTAATTGTAGTAGGCCATGTATTATATAGCTGCTTTTGAAAATTAAGGGAGTATTTAGTTTTAGTTACAAAGATCCATGAAGTATATTGTCTAAATCAACCTGATAATTGCTGGATCAGTATTTTCTTTATTGTTGTCTGTGGATTGAACATAGATTTTTAATCTAAAGAGTTCATGAAATAGACTTTTGAACACAATTGTTATACTCTTTCAATTCTTCACCATTATGAACTACAATAGAGTTACACTGTCTACCTTTAAGTGGTTTTATAGTCCATTGTGGGAATTCCACCTGGAAATGTAGCACAGTGACAATAGCTCTTAATATCCACTATTGTTCTTGCATGATTGAATCACTGGAAGATGATGTATGTTTACAAAAATGGGCCATAACTAAGGCATTCTTGAATACCACTGGTTTAGAATTTAAGAAGAATATCTAACCACATCAGTATGTGCAGCACATACTGAGGTTTGAAACCTCCAGTGGCCAACTGATTGATTCCAGGGCATAACATTGAAATTATCTGAATCCACAAATCTACCAAACGTAGACGGCAAATAGGTTCATCAAGACAGAGGATCTGAGTATATTCACATTCTGCCAGGGGAGCTTTAGGGAGATAGGTGCCTCTCACCAAGGTAGCAGGAGGAAAAACGGTAGGAAGGAAATTCCGCGGTCGGCCTGTGATAAGGGTGGCATGTAGTCCATGGATATGTCAACATCCTGCCAAAACCTAAAAGATGCTCTTTCTAATGGTGAGTGATTACATACAACCACAATGTTTCCCCTGGCTCCCCAATGCCATCAGTACCAAGTCGCCACGATACTTACTATGTTCTCTATGCTGCTTAAATTATGGCCAAGACTAATTTGCAATGAATGGCCTAGCGAGTAAGATTGTGGGTACAGTGTTGAGGAAATGAATGTGTTAACTTTCAAAAAGTTCATGTGGAATTGAATAAAAGTGAGAAAGTAAGAGGTGTGATCATAGAAAGAAAACATGTTGTTGGATGAAGTTTGGAAGTAGATGGTGAATCGATGAGGCAGAATCAGTAAGATAGAGTGATTGGTTACCAGAAAGTACATCTAGCTTATTCTAATTAAAAAAGATTTAACTATTTCATTATATGCTTCCTCTTTATAAAAGAGGACTTTTACAATGTCAGATCTTACTATTTATGTTGTTGGAAAAAAAGAGTTTCTTGCAGTTCAACCAGGTAAGGAAAAGATGTGGGAACGGGCCAGTTGATGTAGGGATTCTAAACAAAGCTGTGAAAATGAAACATGCAGTACAGGGATAAACAGTTAAGAAGCAAAGAATATACATGTTTAATAGGAAGAAAAGTTTCAGGATCTAAAAAGTACAGCATAACTTGAAATTACTTTGTACCCTAAAGATATTGCTGTACAGCAGTGTGCTTCACCTTTCATTGACAAATACAGTCCTTTACATTTTGTAAATAATGCAAAAACTCTTACACTATCCATTCCTCATGTTGCCCTGTGCTCTGCACTTAACTCTTTTATTTTATTTATTTATTTATTTATTTATTTATTTATTTATTTATTTATTTATTGAGACAGAGTCTTTCTCTGTTGCCCAGGCTGGAGTGCAGTGGTGCAATCTCATCTCACTGCAACCTCCACCTCTCGGGTTCAAGCAATTCTCCTGTTTCAGCCTCCTGAGTAGCTGAGATTACAGGTGCCCGCTACCATGCCCAGCTAATTTTCGTATTTTCAGTAGAGATGGGTTTCACCATGTTGGGCAGGCTGGTCTCGAACTCCTGACCTCAATTAATCCACCCACCTCAGCCTCCCAAAATGCTGGGATTACAGGCGTGAGCCACCGTGCCCGGCCAACCCATTTTCTTTACCTCTCTGTTACTGATAATCATTTCACCAAGTCTTCTTTCTGACTTCCACTTGTAATCTGGTTTGTTAGGTTTCTTTTCTTTCTTTTTTTTTTTTTTTGTGATGGAGTCTCACTCGGTCGGCAGACTGGAGTGCAGTGGCCCAATCTCGGCTCACTGCAACCTCCACCTCCCAGGTTCAAGTGATTCTTCTGCCTCAGCCTCCCAAGTAGCTGGGATTACAGGCGCATGCCACCACGCCCAGCTAATTTTTATATTTTCAGTAGAGACGGGATTTCACCAGGTTGGCCAAAATGGTCTCAATCTTTTGACTTTGTGATCTGCCTGCCTTGGCCTCCCAAAGTGCTGGGATTATGGTCATGAGCCACTGTGCCTGGCCGGTTTGTTAGTTTTCTAATGCTGCATAACAAATTATTACAAATTAAAAGAATACCTATGTATCACAGTTTCTGTGACTCAGGAGTCCAGACCTGGCTTTATTGGGTTCTCTGCTCAGGGCCTCAGAAGGTTGCAATTAAGTTGTTGACTGGGCTGTATTCTCATCTGGAAGATTGCACAGGGAAAAATCTGCTTCCAAGCACATTCAAGTGTTGGCAAAATTTATTTATTTGTTTCTGTGTGAGAGCAGCCCAGCCCTTTTGCTAGTTGCCAGCTGGATGCTACCCCTCAAGACCTAGAGGTCACTCACAGTTCTTTGCCATGTAGCTTCTCAACATGGTCACTGACTGTATCAAGCCAGCTAGGAGAAACTCTAGCTCCAGTCTGCTCAGATGGAGGCTTAATAACATGATCAAGGGAATGACATCTCTAATCTTTGCTATTCCCTGTTGGTTAGAAGCAAATCACAGGTCTCACCTGCATTCAGGAAAGGCGAATATACAAGTACGAGAATACCAGGCAAGTGGAGATCATGGGAGCCACCTCAATCTCTGTCCACCACACCTAAAGTCCATACTTTAGTCAAATATCTCTTACAATATTTACTTATCCCTTTAGCCATCCTGTATTCTCCTCAGTCTTTGTCCCCTTTCATTCAAATGATGCATTCTACAAAGACCCAAAGGAACCATCAGGGATACTCCATATTCACTTCCCAGGAGATAAGGAGCAATGCATATTTTGAGACAGAACCAGCAAAGCGAAAATCACAACATTCTCCTGGACAAACTATCTCTGCTATCTGGGAGCCTTCTCTGTTGTGTAGCACTGATAGCAAAGCCTCACATTTGGACATTGGGAAGAGAAGTAGCCTTAGCTCATGGGGGTGGGGGCAGGGGACAATAAGACATCAGGGAGATTCCAGACCTTTATCTAATGGGATGAATCTTTTCTTTTACATGGAAGAGCAGATAGGGAGGAGTGGCTATTTCTCTTTGTTCAGCATTTATTAAAATGAAGCAGGAATTATATTTTGCCATAGGCTTAGTTCCCAGAGTTTACATTTCTGAGGAACCATGATTCCACTTCTAGGGATTTATTCAATTATCCTGAACTACATGAAAGCTAAAGTAAACAATCAGAAATTTACTTTATAACTTTGCCAACAAAAAACTTAATATTTGATTTTGTTTTTCCTTAAAAATCATCTTTCAATGGTGTAAAAATACTACTTTTCAGAGTGTTAAAGAACTGAAAGGTTGAGCAATTCTACAAGTAGTGGTACTTGTTCTTGGTCTGGGACTGAGAAATGTTATCCTTATTGGCCATTATATAACGGCTTATTACTCTTTATTGCATTTTTGTATTGAGATTTGTAATGGTATCATTTTATTTCCAGGAGACTTGGCTTATGTTGCTCTTTAGGAACAAACATGTTTTGACTAGATATAAAGGAAAATTAATTTAAAATATATTTTAGTGTAGCATTTCACCTGTACAGAAGTATTTTCATACCGCTCTCATTTGACACTGCAAGCAGTTGTATAAGGAGGTCAGGGGCAGTTGTTATGAAGGCTACTTTACAGTAGAAGAAACAGCTCAGAGAGGGCACAGGATTTTCCAGGAATACCCAGGCAATAAATGACTAAGAAACCATTGAATCTACCTGTGCCAGCTCTACAGAGAGAGCTCTTCCACTCCATTCCTGGCTAGAACAGATGAGCTTTGTGCAAAATGGGACAAACACCAAATATAGAGAAAAGCATGAAAGGAGGACTGTTTTCCTCTAGCACTTATGGAAGCAAAATTTTAATTATTTTTAAAATTTCAAATGAAAATGTATTTACATTTAATAAATATAAAACTGACTTGCATTTGTCTTTCAAAAAGAAGTTGCCTGAATCACAAAAGTATGATTAGTTTTCTTTTATGTGTCAGTAGATTTTGTAATTATGCATTATTGTATTGAGCAGTCTGATAAGCACATAAATCACTTGAAATGTCAGCACACAGATGTGTTGATTTTGGCTGCCTTAATGCTGTCAAGTTACTTTTCACGTTATGTTATGAGAAAGAACTTACAAAGCTACCTTTATGATCAATTTTAGTGTGGATTTGAAATGGAAGGTTATTTGCAATGGGAAAAGGCAAGTACAGACAAGTACATCCTGTGTAGTCAGAAAACGATTCCATATCTAAGAGACATTAACTGTACTCCCGTTGGATGCCTCAGCTCAGGTTCCATTTTGCTTTCTAGTAGACATTGATTGATATAATAACTAATGTTGAGACTTCTAAAAATAAACTATTAAGCTATATATATATATATATATATATACATACACACACACACCCTATCAGCTGCAAAATGATTTTCTAACCCAAAGAAATGTGAAAAAGAATTTTTACATTATCTTTCTCAGTCTCTGTTGAATATGTAACTATACCTCCTCAGAGACTATAGCAAAGATACAGAGGTTTGGACACAAATGATGAGTCTGCATATAATGGACATATATATGGATAATGAGGCAAAGTTGCAGTGACCATTTAAAAGATTAAGCTGTAAGCAGCAAATGCTGTTTGAAATATAAGCCGCAGATACACAAGGATCTGCACTTTTCAGAAATGGAAAATTGATTTTTAGCAGCTGCATTTTCTAGCACACCTAAAAGGTGATGTAGGAGATTTCTCCTGCTGGTGAAAAATTGGCTACATATTTTGACAAATAGTAAACATTAAAAAGTCAGCATACTAATGTCACCAGAAATTAAAGATAGAACACTATTTGGTAGTCTGGCTAAATCAAAATATTTAAATTTACATTATACCATATGAAGGCATGCCACTTTTTAAAAAGTTATAAAATGTTACCAGAATGCATTCTTTCAGACTCACAAATTATGTATTGGTAATAGACTTTTATGTTATTTGAGGTTGAAACAAGGAGAAACCAAGCTATTTGCAAATGGAGTAGCCTGCACAGCAATTTATAACCAGAAACTGCAGTTTTAGAGATAAACATAAGAAGACTGAAAAACAGAAGCATGGTGCTAGAGGGAAGGCCTGGGAAAGTCTAATGATCACATTTTACAGAGAACCTAAAGTCCAGAGAGGTTAAAGGATTTGCTCAAGTGGAGTACATGGTGAAAACCTAATTACCTTTATTTTTAATATGGCACATTTAAGTTAAAATCTCCATTCCTTAGACTGTAACTTTCTTAGCTTCCTGATCATGGCTCGTTACTAAGAAAGTCCCTTCCCAAATTCACTCAAACCTTCCATTCCAGCCTCCTGCTCCCATGGTTATTCTCTTGTGTGCTCCAGCCACATGGAAATTCTCCTTTTCCAAACCATAAAGCCCCTTCAAGATATTTCACATTTGCAAGTGCACTTCTCCTGGTCTAGAATGCCCTTTCCTCTTTTCTCCACTGTCTAACTCCTACTAATCCTTCAATGTTCAGGTTCACCTGGACTCTGCTGGCTGTCCCTTCTACAGGTATTTTGTTCTTACGCCTGCAGGGGACCCACCTCTGTGCTACAATATATATATACACAAGTCTGCTTGTCCCACTATACTCAGACCCCACAAGGGAATTTTAGTAACCCGAGTGCCTAGCACAGAGTAGACACTCAATAAATATTGGATTGATGCTTGGATAAATACAGTATAAAAACGGAGTAAACAGAGATAGTTGCTACCAATTAACATGCAGCATAATGAAGTGCCAAGATTTTCAAATGGAAAAGAGCCTCAAAACTCTTCTAAGTAATGCCTCTCATTTTAGAACTGAAGTTCAGGAAAGTTAGTTAATTTAAGGTCACCAAGCTAATGCATAACAAATTCAAGTTTATATCTATATCTGCTAGTTTTAGTTCTACACCATAAAGCATATGATGGAAGACACTTGGTAATATAAACTACATCTTGGTTATTTGGAATTTTATCAATATGCAAGAGTTTAAGAAATTTTGCAAGTATTGGGGATTGCTTGATGACTGCGCTCTTTTAAACTAGCTATTGCTTTAACTTTTATTGTTGAAGTGGTTTGTTAATTATATCCTTTTTATTTATTAGATTAAAAAAAGTGGTGCTGAACACTTTGTATACATGCTTATTTCTAAATCAAGATATTTAACCACTCCTTCACTTTTCCCAGTAAGAATTAACCTTGTTTTTCAGGTTTTATTTTTGTGTTCTACATTGCAGCCCTGTACTTCGTAATAGGAAATTTTATGTTTCACTGTAAACCTTTAAAGTAAAAAATGCATGAATTCCAACATCAGAATGACCCAAAGCAAGTTGGAACTTGATATATGAAATAACAATACAAACCTATTCACACAACTATGAAAAGCAGATTTAAAATTGTGTAAATAAAAATAGTGAATTTAAAAATATTTTTACCTATTATTTTATATTTTACCTATTAAAATTATATATAGGTAATTATATATTTTACCTATTAAAAATAATTTTACCTAGTATAGCTGGTGCTAGGCAAAATGAATAAAACAATCAACAAGAGAGTTCAGACAGACATAAAATCAAGGCCAATTTACTTATTTTACAAAGGTAAGTTGTGAATTTTTCTTCTTTGTACCCAAATTTGATTTCAGGAACAGAGATAAGCAAGAAATTTTAGAACAGAGGGTGTTTGGCCCTATTTGTTACTCTAGTATACAAACAGCACCCATTTCCCACAGCTTTCCAAGCACTGCACCAACATACAGACACCACAATTCAATTCAATTAAATTCTGTCACCAAAAAATATTAAGTGTAAACACTTCATATTTATAAGCAAGAGCAAAGAAAAGAATTAGAGTCTTTAAAAAAATTTGTCCAAACAAAATTTGATACAAAAATATACATTTTTTTTCCAGCAGTTATGCCTCACCAAGACTTGCTAAACTAGAGAAATCATTATGCTAGAACAGAAATCTAGTGCAATGCCTCATATTGATCATGAGCAGTTTTAATTATACTTATTTGTGATTTTTTTCCTCTGGTGTAATCAATTTGCAAGGAAATATAGCATACGATTAGCATGAAAAAGAATCTAGAGGCACCAAGCAGAAAAAGTCTTCTCCATTCTCCTACATTTTTCCTTTTATTTAGGCTGGAATGGGAAAAAGAAGGAATCCAGGGAGTGTTTGAAAAGAGAATCGAGGAAATTTAAAAATTGTAGAAATCATATCATGCTTGTTCAGCGTGCATGTTTATGGGGTGTGTGTGTGTGTGTGTGTGTGTGTGGTGTATGTTTGCATACGTGTGTGTGCATGCATGTAGCATACCTGGCTTAATGCTATAATGTATTATACATGAAAGTAAGCTCTGCATTCCCCCTCTCCTTCAACAAAACACCTAAGCTGTCCTAGGCAGAGCTGAGTGTGAATGGATTGTATTTTATGCCAGGAACAGTGGTGAAGCAGACGACATCCCGTGCACCCTGTCTTTCGGGACCCTCAGATCTTGGTTCACATAGATAGAATTCAACATAATGATCTGCCTGGCTTCCTGCTCTGCAAACTTCCAGCTCCAATGCTGAGGGTACTTCATGCATACTTTCAGGTTCACCTCCCAGAGTCCTAGACAGTGGACATTTAAAGCCCTGCCATATAAACTCTGAGCCAAGCATTATTAGAACTGCTGTTTCTCTTTGTCACCGTATGTAGCTTTTAATTGCTGCACTATTGATTTGTTTCTTTGGACCACAATCCTACTTGGTTTTCCAGTTGATTCCCCGGATGATATTCCACCATTTCCCAAATTTAACCTCACCAGTGTTTGCTGAGAAAAGAATCCAACTACTGGCAAGACATACTCTTATGCCCAGGTCTCTGCTCTATGATATAGAGAGTCTGTGTACTTAGAGCTTTACCTGTTGTTTTTTGCCAGATATTTCCAGAACCCCTTATATTCCCTATCCCACAACCTCACTTTCACACACACTGTATTCTATTTTACACATACTCCATATAGTATGCCTTGCTCGACTTGTCTCATTTCTGCAACTTTCCGTAGCATCTCTTCTGACTTTTTTCACTCTTGGGTCCCTGAAATTTAATCAGACATTCTTAACTTCCTGTTTCCCAAGACGCTCTGAACCAACTGCCCTGACTTAGCCTCCCTTTCTTACCCTGTGTCCATTGTTCCTCTGTCCTGGCCTCTTAAGTCAATGCTGAGTTCAGATTTGCATAGACTACCTTTCCAGCCCTAGCAAGAGAATCTAATCTATACCCCTTCTTAGTCTCCTGATTCTGACGCTTACTTGGCAAATTGGCATCAGACTTTATATTCTACTAGTTTCCTCTACTTGCCCCTAGATCCTTATCTATCCATTTCTTACCTGGCTGTGTTAACCCATTCCTATTCCTGTATGCTGCCATTGGCTGTCACTTCCATGCTCTTTATCTTGATTTAAACTCAGATTGAATGAACAGTGAAAAAAAAAAAAAAAAAGAAAGTCCCTGTCCTCCCACCTGTCAGATTGTCCCTGAGTTTTTGGTTCTCATTACTACTCTTTGAATCTGGGGACCTTTCCCCCATTGTGCATTACTGAAAAGGCATTAAAGTCATTCTCATTAAGTTTTATCTTTTCCTGACAAAGTTTGTATTGCACAATGCTGCCAAATTCACAGTGCCATGGAGTATAACATGAAGTTCTTAATACTCCACCTTAAAACTTTGGTCTCAAGAGATCTTTTTCTTCACTCAAACATTTCTTTGGCTATTTACACGTAATTTTTCCTTGCTGTTTATGAAGAAAAATTGATCTTGCTATATTTTAAAAACAAACTTCAACTTCTGTTCCTGATCCAATCTCTTTCATTTCATCCGTCGACCTATCTAATTAATAAGCATGTTCCTCAATACCTAATATACACAGACTTTGCAGTAAGTTTTAAAAATGCAAAGATTACAGAAACATGATTGGAGCACTCAAGGAGCACGAAATCTAGCAGCGGACAAGCATTTGTAAACAGATTACTGCAAACCCAATGCGATACGTACTATAGTGGAAGGATATACTAAAGAGACTATAAACTGATCGTTGGGAGCAAAGGTTCTAGAACCTGACTAAAACCCATACTAGTTCATATGGTTCCTTCAAAGCAATTATAAAAAGGCTTTTCACTCGAGCAAATAAGTTACAAAAAAGTACCTCCACTGGGGGAGACCCATGAGAAAAATGAATCTCTTTCCTCCGGGCTGCTGTTGCAGCCACTCAAGAGTGTACAATTTGGGAAACAGAATACAGACTGAGGCTTGGCTTCCACTTGTGCCCCATCTACCAGGAGCCCTTTTGTAGGGTCCAACCTGAACAATTCAGCACAGTGGCCAAACATGCATCAGATAGATTGAGTGGAAAATCTTTATTCTGTCACCTACAAGCCCTTGAAAAAGTCACATAGCTTCTTTGAGGCTCCCTGAATTGTAACACTGTACAGTAATAGAAACTAACTCAGAGGATGAGTAGATAAATCATGTGAATACTTATTTCACTTCCTAGTGATGAATAAGCACTCAATAAAATTATTATTATACACGAAATTACTATTAATCTTATTCTAGAGATATAAAAAGAAGTCAACTCTACTACAAAGAGAATGCCAGGGAAGGAGTTACAAAAATATGTGATCCTCATGCTATGCCCTTAAATATGAGTTAGAAATCTCAGAAAAAGGAGGAAATATTTACAGACAACAGCCAAAATTCTCAACAAAGACAGGAGTATTCAGGAAAGCCTGGGAGGAGAAATTGGAGAGATTTGCCATGGAATAATTGAGGAAATAGAAAGAGGCTATTTAATGAAATGCTTAGAGCCCTTACATTTGAGTTTCAAATTAATATGAAATATAGATCTATTAATTTTAAGTTATTAATTGATATATTAATTTTGGCCTCATTCAGTAATGGAAAAATAAGAGCAAAATAAAATTTGTTGAAGATCTAGCTCTGACCTAGGCATTATGCCATATAAGAAAAGCTGGGAGGGAGTGGAAGAACATATTGGGAAGCCAATAAATATTTTTTAATTAGTTTCATCAAATTTTGATACTGTTATTCATAGTTTTAAGAAATCTTTAAATCACATGTGTTAGATTTTTTTTGGTAAAACTTAAGAACATGATAGCATTGATGGGAGATAACTTAATTATATATAGTTTCTATACCGGAGCAGGTCTATCTGCCATTTTGGAAAACCTAATTTTGTTATATAAATTATGAAATATTGTAGCTTAAATTGTTATTTCATGTTTTTTTGCCATATTTATTTTGTGCCAGATGCAGCAGAAATGTAGAAATTTGAAAACAAGTAATACAAAATGAATTCGGCTAGCAGATGGCAAAGTCTTCTTTAAAATGAATGACTTAATGTTAGTTATATGGCTGTAGTAATAATAAAAAATGATAATAAAAAGAGGTCATGTGAAATACAAAAAGTAAAAATAAAGATATTTGATTTTAAACAGTCCTGTTATTAGTTTCTGCTTGACCTAAAGTTACAATACTCTGGGGTAGCAGAATTGTTTAAAAATATTCAGAAGTTGGCTAATCATCGGTTACTTTGCATTCACGGATTTAGTGTTTTTGAGTCATACACAAAAACTAAATATATAGTGTCAGTGTTAACTGGAAAAATTTAGGCTGACACCTTAAAATACTCTATCCTTCCTCACCCCTACTGAATATTTAAGAAGCAAAAACAAATACAAAGATTATTTCATTCCATCCCTGGAGTTCACAATATACTGTTTTATTAAATTACAAAAATATTGTAATCATACACAGAGAATGATATAATACTCAAATTTAACAAAAGTTAACATTATCCCATTTTTAGTTCAAATACATACTTATTTCCAAGTATGTATACACATGTACATACATATGTACATACACATATATTTATATTTAAATGCCAGTACCACAGTGTGTTGATTTTTCTAGCTTCCTAGTGAGTTTTGAAATTAAAAAGTAGGAATCCTCAAACTTTGTGGAGTTTTCTTGAGATTGTTTTGGCTATTTGGGGCCTCTTGAATTTCCATATGAATTTCAGGATCAGTTTGTCAGCTTCTGCAAAGAAGCCAGTTGAGATTTTGTTAGGGATATGTTGAACCTGTAGATCAATTTGGAGAGTATTGCCATTTAACAATACTAAGTCTTCCGATCCATAACCATGAGATATCTTTTCATTTATTTGTCTTCCTTAATTTCTTTCAACAATGTTTTGTAGTTTTTACTGTATGAGTCTTGCATTTCCTTTGTTGAATTTATCCTCACATATTTTATTCTTTTTAGTGGTACTGTAAGTAGAATTGTTTTCTTAATTTCATTTTTAGATCGTTCATCACTAGGATATAGAAAACCAGTTGACTTTTATATAGTGATCTTGTTTCCTACAAACTCATTGAATTTGTTTATTAGTTCTAATATTTCTTAGTGGATTCTTTGGGATTTTCTTTTTTATTAATTTTTATTTATGTATTTATTATATATAAATATATATATATATATATATATTTCAATCTTTCACCAGGCTTCAGTGCAGTGGCGCAATCTCAGCTCACTTTAACCTCCGCCTCCCAGGTTCAAGCAATTGTTCTGCCTCAGACTCCCGAGTAGCTGGGACTGCAAGTGTGCGCCACCAGGCCCAGCTAATTTTTGTATTTTTAGAGACAGAGTTTCACCATGTTGGCCAGGATGGTCTTGATCTCTTGGCCTTGTGATCTGCTCATCTCAGCCTCCCAAAGTACTGGGATTACAGGGATTTTCTATATACAAGATCATGCCATCTGAATAAAGATAGATTTACTTTTTTCCAATCCAGATACCTTTTATTTAATTTTCTTACCTAATTGCCTTAGCTTCTGTTGCCGTTTTATAGTAAATAATAAACAATACTCTATAAATGGTTGTTTCAGCCAAAGGGCCCATAAAAAACAAAAACAAAAAAAAAACACACACCTCAAGTTAAGCTGACACTTTTAGATGGTACAATCTCAGGACAGCAAGAACGCAGAACTAAAGAAAGGAAAATAGGTAAAATGTTTGTAAGTAATTGAACTAACTACAGTTTCACCAGAAAACATAGGTGCTGAGTTGCTCAGAGTCTCCAGAGGGTCTCAAGAGTTTCATTGTGCATTGATGTTATTGGTTACAGTGAGAGGTGGGAAGGGAGCAGAATGTTATCTATTAGGTTTTTTCCAATTTCTTTTCTCAGTGATCAGAGTCTGCCCTACAAGACATTGATGTCATCAAATTTCTGAGCTGTGTTACCCGGCCCATTAGGGCTACTGCATAGGAACCTATGGTTCATGTATTCATTAGAATCATAAATGGTAAGAGAATTCTTGACCTCCGAAGAGTCAAATTGAGGCAATAGAGCCCCTATATGTCCAATCTAGACCTCACCCTAGCCTTCATTCCAGGAGGTCCTGGGACAGTTGGTGGCTGTGTCAGAAGAAAAAGGTAATGATGGCAATGTCTATGCAGCTACCATGGGTACCTTTCTATGCTACCTTAAAGTTAAAAAATATAAACGTTCATATTCATCTGCAATGTATTATCTCATTTATATTAATGTTTTCATATTTGTTCAATAATATATTTTTGAGATTTTTCCAAGTTGATACATATAATTCTATTGTATTCCCATTTTAATCCCATTTAGTTATCAATTCTGTTCATAGACTTTATAACTTTTCATAATTATTTGCTAAAACAGTAATGCTACAGATAAGTTTATTATATATGTCTCCTTGTGATAATTTATCTCAGAAATATGTCTAGGAGTGCAATTCCTGAATCAATGGCTGTGTACATTTTCAATGTCACTAAATATTATTAATTTGTCCTACGAAGTTGTTAAGCCAATTTGGATTTTCATCAGCAGTGCCTGGGAGTTATTCTTGCTCTATCTACTCGCCAGCACCTAACACTTAGTATTGTTGAACTTTTAAGTTTGGGATGTGAAATAGAATCTAAGTGCTGTTGTAATTTGTATTTCCGTGATTACTAATGAAACTTCTCATCTTTTCATTTATGTCTCATCCTACAAAGAGTTTCAGACTCTCTGAGTTACCTATGTCTCTCTTGTCTGTAATTTTTCTATGGGTTTGTTTGCCTTTGTAACAATTTATCATAGTTCTTAGGACTTTTGTAAGAATATCTTCTCTCAGACTCTATGTTTTCTTTTGATTTTGTTTACTATGTTTTAGTTGTATGGAAATTTTCATTTTAATATAGTAAAATGTGTCATTTTTATGTTTTGCTTAAAAATTACTTTCTACTTCATGTCACAAATGCTAGCTTTCATATTTTCTCCTGAAATACTTGAAGTTTCACTTTTTACATTTAAGAGATTTAGCCTATGGGGATTTAATTTGGGATACTGTGAAAAGAAGGACTCATTTTCTGTATAAACAGCCAATTTCTGTAGCATCTTTTATTGAGTCCAACTTCCGTTGGGTTGTTCTCATTTCCAATCCATACCAAGCTTTCAGATGACCCTGTTTCTGTCTTTGTTTTGTTATGATTTTCTGCTTGTCTATCCTTATAACAGTATCACTGTTTAATTGTATAGCTTTACTTATTTTAAGGGTTAATCTTAGGCGGCAATAGTACCTCACCCTATTACCACCACTAGCCATGCAGCAAATTATCTAGGTTTTTCCTGGTCCCTCATTTTTTCACATAGATTTTCAAATCAGTTTAGCACATTTCTCCAAAATTCTGAAGGAATTTTGTTTTTAAATGTGCTGACTTTTAGAGTAAATTGATATCTTTTTTACATTGAGGCTTCTCATTTATGACATATGTTATATCTTTTCATTTATTTAGGTATTCTGTTGAGTTATTCAAAGGTGTTAAAATTGTTTTTTATTAAGGACTTCAATCTCTGTGTAGATGCCCATTCTGTAATACCATAAAAACATTTGTCGTTGTAGTGAATGGGTTTCTAAAATTTACATTTTCTATTTGGATGAGCCTAGTGGATAGAAATGTTACAGATTTCCAATAACAATCTTGTATCAACTAACCTTGCTAAACTATCTTATTCATTGTAAAGTGTGTTTGTAGTCTTTTCCTTTTCTATTATATCATATGCTTACAGCAGCAATTTTGTATCTCCTATTTCATTTTATATGCTTATTTCTTTTCTCTTGTTATTGTTTTATATAAAGTCTTCAGTATAGCGTTTAAGACAAGAGGTTGTTGGAACATGATACCTGCTATCTGATTTGAAGGAGATTCTTCCAGAATTTCACCCTGCATTTAATTTTGCTGTAAAAGTGAATAGGAAATCTGTTATTCATTAAAAGAAATCGCCTTTTATTTCTAGGTTTAGAAGGTGGTTCTTTGAAGAAAACTAATGAAATGGTTAAAATGTTGACAAAATTATCCAAGAGAATAAAGAAAGAAAAAATATTCACTATGAAAAAGTAGGCTGAAATATGGACTAAGTAGAAAAAATTTAATATAAACATCTTTATGCCAATGCATTTAAAATGTAGTAAAAATTGTTATAGTAAAAGAAACATTACCAAAACTTACTCAGAGAAGTTGAAAACCCATATATATGTTCAAGAGAAAAAGCAAGGGAAAAAGAAAAGGAATCTTGAATAGACTTATAATTAAAGATATTGAATTAGACTTTATAGCTTTCAGAAAACATATATTCTCTGTGTTACACAAACTACTCCACAGAAGACAGAGAGTGAAGCTTCGCAAATTCTTTTGTTAAACCATGACTTCCTGGCACCAAAAGTGGATAAAGAGAGTACAAGAAAAAAAATTGATTGAGAATCTTCCTTGTGAACAATGATGTAGAAGTCTTTAATAGAATATTAGCAAATAGAATACATCAACATTTAAATATGTTTTCTAGTAAAGGAAAATTTATTTCAGAAATGCATAAAATGTTTTCACTTGAAAAAAATCTTCTAATGGTAATCACCAAGTTAGGAAATTAAAGCTGAAGGATGTAGATATCTTGATGGTGGTAGCACAAATTGGCAAAACCATATTTGAAAATTGTTCTTATCTTGTAAAGTTAAACATTCGTATACTCATCAACCAAAAACATCTTACTCCTAGATATATTTTCAAGTAAAAATTTTGAGTATCTTTACCAAGCGATAAGTATAAGAACGTTCCTCACACTGATTTTAAAAGCCAAAAACTGGAAACAATCAAATACTAATGACAGGAGAAGAGATAAATATATTGTCATTTATGCATATATGGAATGTTATGGTGCAGTAAAAATAAAGTAACTTTATAAACAAACATTTAGTTGAACCTTAGTAATATAATATTGAGTTTTAGAAACAAGTTCCAGAAGATTCCTGTATGAAATTCTTTATAAATTTTATGACAAGACTAAATATTATTATTTAGGAGTACATTCATAATTATAAAATTATATTTTAAAAAGCAAGGGCACAATAAACAATTTAGGATTGAGTATACTTGGTGGGGAGAAGTAAAGGACAGGCTAAACAGGGTTAACATAGGTATTGTCGATGTCACAGTTCTCGGGTTGGTTGGGTGATGGTTTTGTATTAATTAATTAAAAAAGAAACCTGCATGATTATCTTAATATGAAAAGAGATATAATTTCATAGAATCTGATAGAGTCATTCATGATTTAAAATTTTCATTGCAAATAAATAGATTAGGGAAAGTTCTTGATTTAATAAAATGTGTCTGCTAAAAAGTCTATGGCAAAAAGCATTCTCAGTGTACAAATGTTTGACACATTCATTAATGCCTGGGCTGTATTAATGAATTGTTATTATTATTTCCCTCTTGAAAATACAGCACATTAGTTGTTTGACATGAAAGCTTTCCAGAAAAAAAGTGTTATTTCAGAATTAGTCTTGACAGTTTACCTTTCAATCTCCCAAACAACAAGGATATTTCTCGTTCCTGAAGCATATTGTCAACATGACAACTTATGTCATTGTCTGTTACTTTTTAAAGAAAATGCTACTCTACAAAAGAGTTGGAAGCAATGCATCCCAACACAAGGCCATGTTTTTCAAAATACAGAGTATTAATCTGGCAGTATAAATATATATGTGTGTGACCTCTGTTCTTAGTGTCTTAGGAAGACTTTCAGGAGTCATTTGTGTTGGGCCTATAGTGATTCTGTTTAACATAAATTTTATGTCATAGCTTATATTCTAATTCCTAAGGTAATAGATATTTTAGCATTTCTTGAAATGTAACAGATTTATTCATAATTGGAAAGGCATGTCAAAATAACCTCTTTTAATACAATAAGCCAGAAGCTTGAGACGTATCTGGTGAGTTGTTTATGAGGATAGTTTTTTTATTTGTTTTTGTTCTGATGCCTCCATGTTGATTGTTTCCACTGTAAGTTAATTTTCTGATATTATACTTTTAGTGTCATTCTAATAATTTTTACAAGATTCCTCTTTTGTTTAAAACAGTGTTTCAACTTCATTAAAAATATCTTTGGAATTCAGGATCCTTAAACACTTATAATATATAAAAAAGGAATTATACATCTATTTCCTGTTGATGTCACATCTGATTTTTTTCAAATTATGTTTAAAATGTCAGCAGCTTTGAGCCTGAAGCCTTCCATCAAATATCAAAGACAGTTATGTAAAAAATGTTCAACAGATGGAGGTGTCTTATAAAATTCTTTATTTAAATCTACAAATGAGTCCTCAGTTAAGTGAACTATAACTTGAGAAGTTTTTAAAATCTTGAATACATATGCAAAAAAATAAGTTTAATATAATGAGTTTGTTTCAAGTGATTTATTAATTCTATACCTAATTTAAGATTGTGGTTTATGAGCTATTTTATAGTAATAGAAAGTACAGTGCATGAATAGTTTTAGAGCTTAAGACTGTGATTTTTAAAATATAAGGTTATTTGGTGCTGAGTGCAGAAAGAAATTAGCCCTTGTGTAATTTCTGAGAGAGGCATATATATGAGTCCCTTAAATGTAGGCCATTTCTCAAAAGAAGTAAAGTCTAAGCATCTTATTGCTCACATGCAGTCAAGAACAAAATATTTTATGAAAGTTATATACCTTACATTCAAGCCAGAACTTTATAACTATAGCCATATATGTTTTTTGGGCTTCATCATAGAAATACTCAGGCCACATCGTACTGTAGGACTTAATTAAAATATACTCATTAAATCATATTCAGATTTTATCAGCATTCAACATCTGGTTCTATACTTTACCATTTATTAAGCTCAAAAGACCTTGGTAACTATATTAAGGAAATAGATATTAGGACCTAAAGGAAAAGATTGATGAGATTGGAGTTTTAAGAATACAACAGCTGCTCCTTATTTCTACAGAGAACAAAGCAAATGGAAATTAGCATCAATAACAGAAGAAGAATATACATAAGATATATATACACAATAAATAAATTAATATAAATATGAGTAGATAAAACATGTTGATTTTATGGGTATTCAGTGAGAAAGTCTATAATCATGACTTTTAATGAGGCTCTCTAAGACTACAAGTATAATTTATGGTGACTGAAATGCTGAGGAACTAGATAGCCCTGCCAGATCTGCTGGAGGCTCTTTGCCCTTGTTATACAAATATAATGCTCACAGTGTTACGGACCATGCATTTGAATGGAAATAATTCGTATCCCTTTTATTCCTACTATATGTATACTCTGATCTTTGAACAAAAAAATTTTTTTTTTAATTGTCATCCTTTGGGGCAGTCCACTTTCTGTGTCAGTGGCTCTTAACCCCAGAATCCGCAGGCAATTCTGTTCCTGCTGAGTCATCTCCCTCTTCTCTCCCCTCCAATCTTTTCCAAACTCTCTGCTGACCTGGGCTGTTTTTCGACTGCTAACGTTGATGGCACATTTTCCCAAAGCGATTTGAAGCATTTACCTTCTGCTTGATTTCTAAGAGGCCATGCCCCTTCCACTTCCTTTGATAAGGTCAAAGGGAAAAAAGTTACATCTGGGTTTCTTTGGATTGTTGTTTTTGTTTTAGCCTAAAAAGCAATCACCATAAAACATGCACATACCCAACTAAGACTAAAAAAATCTAGAATTCAGGCTCACATGGTCTGATGAAACAAAATGATGTAAAGGACTCTGTGGACGATTTACAAATTGTAAGAATGGTTAAATTTTATATCAACATAAAATGCATAGCTCCTCCAGCAAGCACAAAGCACAAAAATACATTGTGTGTTCTGTCAGTTTTCCAAACTTTCAAGGACCTCCTAATACTTAGTTATGCAATGTGATTTGCTATTACAATATACTTTACTCTGCGGATGTTTTATTAAGTTGGTCCAAAAGTAATTGTGGTTTTTCCAATTACTTTTAATGGTCAAAACCACAATTACTTTTGCACCAACCTATATTTTCAGTTCTTATGGTATTTGCCACAGAATAAGATGCATGTAGTTCTACATATTGACACACAAATTTGTATATAGATGTTTTGTGTTTGGAAACACCAGTCTTTATATAATGGCTTTACATAATACAACACTTTGCATAAAATTATATTCAGTAAAGTAATTGTCAAAGATATATTCAGATAGTTTTTACACGTGTAAACAATCAACTAAATTGTAGCTACTTGAAGTACCTGCAAGTCTGATCACCAGCTCACTGAGTCTTTAGCTATCCAAAAGATCCTGACACAATGCTGACCTATACAACGTTCACACTGTGCTATCAAAAAATACTAAATAACAAACTCTTTCAGGTCCTACTTAAAAGTATGTAATTGTTTTCTAAATCACATGCAAATTATTTACTGATAATTGTCTGTGTTTTCTACTTTATTTGTGCAGTCACTGCTGTAATTAAAGTACCTGAAAAATCTTTATTGGATATCATTATGCTCTTTGATCAAAAACTTGTATTAAATCTCCATTAATCAATTAATAATGACCCTATCAATTATAGACTAATTCAATTAACCACCACCCTGAATTTTTTATTCATGTAATAAGTCAAAGTCCCCAGACTAATCAAAATCAGGCTTGAAAGGCAAATAAGGAAGATATGTTAATTCTGCTCACCCAGGGTGATTTTATTTTTGATGAACTCAGCAGAAAGTCACTTTCAGTAATCCAGTAAGAAAAGGGTGATTCTTTTTCCTAAAACTTTCCAATGTTTTATATTTTTCTTCAAATATGCTTTAATCTCTCTGACACAGGTCTTGAAGAAATTGGATAATTAGCCTAACTTGATGTCAATTTTAGTTACTTATAACTAAAATTATTTGAGAATTATTTTTTCAGAACAATTTCAAAATAAAATGCATACAGGATATTATAAAGATCTGCTCATTTTAAAAGACAGAAATTCAAGTTTTAAAAAATATGTCATGACTTAATACAAGAACATTATATTTAATCTTTATAATATCATTTTATTAACTCCAAATGTGCTTGTTAATAAGGTTTATAATTTTGGCTGTTTTTATCTTTTAAACTCACTTGAAATTTAATGAGATCTTGATGGATGGACTTTCATTCGTATACATGGAGTCTTAGTGAAGCCTGGTTGAGTTTTTTCAAACACTGCTGACAACTATATTTGGAAAGTTTCCCTGGAGCTGATAAAGTATACCTGATTTTTAGTGTTCCTGTATTATGGTTATGAGTAAATCACATACATTATTTTACTCATTCCACTTATGAGTCATGACTGCTGCAGGCTTTCATTCCCTTCCCATCATCCTGTTGATGATGGGCACAAATTTATGTGCATTGGGATGCCTGTTGGTAACTTTGCAGTCTCTGGGCAGTGTCTTCCTGTCACTACAGTGTGTGAACTGTGACATCTGAATCAGGGCAGCAGTGGCCAAGACTCAGAGCCTGCACAGCAGGCTAGAGGCTCAGTGGTCATGTTGCCACAACCAGAAACATCTTGCTGTAGTCAGTACTTGACTTCCTAACACCCCACCATTCCCATTTGCAGACAGAGTAAACCTTCAGTAATACAAATGTGACAAAGATGAATAGAATACACATTGGATGCATTAGCTTACTTAATCCTAAAATATGAAACTGTTCATTCAGTAGATATTTCATGAAACATATAGGCCAGGCACATGCCAAATAACATAGACCAAGTTGTCTGCCCCTGTGATTTTACATTTTGACAAGAGAAGATTGACAACATTGTGATAATACATAAATTATATAATAGAGAAATAAACAATGGATGTTCAGTTATCTCAGCAAAATCTCCATTGAATAAAAAATAACAGAAAGCTTTGGATTTTGGATTATTAAGAAAATAAATAACTTTTCTATATTCAGAGGAAAACAGCAAGAGGAGGAGAGTCTTGTGCTTTAGACCAGATAAACTGTACTGCCTAAATGTCTGCTGGGCATTGGTAGAAAGTCTAAGAAATTCTTGCAACTGCTTGATAGATGGTAAGGGACAAAGAGGAGCTTATATGACTGGCATGTGACAAACACCAGGACTCTTCTCTGTCATTTCAAGTTAAGTAAAGGAAGGGAAAACAAGATAATATAGGTCCTATTTTTTAAATGTGCAGAACAAGAAAAGAATAGGGATTTTTCTAAATGTATGAAAAAAAAATTTTAAGTGGGAAATATTCTACGGATAAAAAAAACAACCAAATTTCAAGAGCATATATAAAAATATTTTTGGAGGCTAAGGGTGGAGGATTGCTTGAGGTCAGGAGTTCAACACCAACCTGGACAAAATAGCAAGGCACTTTCTGCAAAAAATAAAAGGTTAACCAGGCATGGAGGTGCATGCCCCTAGCTACTCAGGAGGCTGAGACAAGAGGATGGCTTGAGCCTAGGAGTTTGAGGCTGCAATGACCTATGATCATGCACTTCACTCTAACTTGGGTGACAGAGCAAGGCCCTGTCTCTTTAAAAAAAAAAAAAAGAAAAAAGGATATTTTTTTCTTTATGACATAATAGAGGAGTAATAGAGAAGGTAAGATTAATGCTGAGAAAATAAGAGAGGTGCTATATTTTTCCAATTTCCCTGAAATATATTTCAAAATATAGATTAAAATATATGTTAAAATTGCATTACCAAAAATAAATCTATAATATTAAGGACAGAATGGAGAAACTCTCTGAGAATGCAGAGGAAAATAATAAATAAATGAAAAGGATGAGTGAGAAAATATTACAAAAAAAAACCTCAGAAATAAAAACTCAGCTTTTGGACAACTGGCCTTCTAGAATGAGACACCAAAAAGAAGCAGAAGCAATATTTTAAAATATAACTCAAGAAAACCTTTTGAGCATGTCTTCTCCTAGAAAACAGTCTGCAGCTTGAATGCACCAACTTTGTTCTGTCCAAAGCAATACAAGAAACCTTTATCAAGATATATACTGGTGGATGATGATGATTAATACTATTAATTTCTAGAAGAAAGTGCAAACCTTGTAAGAATCACTCAGGTAGGGGGATAGAACAAAGAAGAAATAGATTATAAAACAAATAGTGTTGAAAAAATTATGTTCTTAAATATATATATATATATATATATATATATATATATATATATACTGTGATCCTATGTCACATTATGTATACACATAAAACCAAGATGGTTCAGTAAGGGCAAGAAAGAATAAAATAAAACTTGAAAGGAAAACTCAGAGAAAATTGTAGATTTAACTGATCTAATCAAGTAAATTATCTTTTTAGCCATACAAAAATATGCAATCATGAAAACAGTAATTGATACATTTGAGTATAGTAAAATTGAAAACTTGTGCTAAAAATAAAATTAAGTGACATAGCAAATTAGAAAAAAAATGCAACAAATATAACAGAAACCACATATGATACTATATAAATAATTCTTAAAAATCAGCAGGAACATTTCTAATCCAATAGGTAATAGACAAAGAACATGAAAGAGACTATATATATATATATATATATATATAATTAGTGACACTGAACAATTAAGAAAATATAAATTAAATGCCACTTAGTGACATTTATGTAGATTAAAGGTAAAAATGCCACTTTTCAATTGTCAAAAATATACAGAAAGTTAAGCACACGTGTTCTCACTTGTGTAGAAGCTAAAAAAAGTTGATCTCATAGAAGTAAAAAGTAGAACAGAGGATACTACAGACTGGGAAGTTAGAGGGCATGGGAAGTTAGGTAGAGATTTGATAAAGGAAATAAGATTACAGCTAGATAGGAGAAATAATTTCTAGTTTTCTATACCACTGTCAGATGACTATAGTTGACTGTAATATATTATATGGTTTCAAATAGTTACAAGGAGGATTCTGAACAAAAAGAAATAATAAATGTTTGAAATGATAGACATGATAATTACCCTGATCTGATCATTAGACATTGCAGTATGGAAACATCACTAGATACCTCATAAATATGTACAATTATTATGTATCAATTTTTTAAAAAATAAAATGTATTTAAATGTAAAATTTTATTTAAAAATGGGATTGGTGTGTAAAGAGTTATTTTATATAGCAGATGGAAGAGTGTAATTTTCCTGAAGATAAATGAAACAATGTGTATCACATTTCAAATGCCAGGTTCTTAGTGTCTATAAGGAAACAGTTGCACCAGTGGGCAAATAAATACACATGAGAGTTGAGTCTGTTTTTCTTCTGATAGTAAAAGAATTGGAAACAAATTAAATGAACATCAACAAGGGATTGGTTAAAAATTTTCATATTCATTCATGCACGCACAATACGGAATGTTATATAGTCATTAGGAATTACTATTATTTGTATGTTTCTTTTATGTTTAAAAGGCCTTTTTTGTTTATTTTTAAAATCATTTCCTTTGACCAAGTAGCCTTAATTATTTGAATTTGTGCTGTAGGAATGAAGAGATATGTGGCCCAGGATGAAAGGACTATGATTGTGTGGGAATGTTAATTTTAATAGAAAAATTGAGGATAGAGGGAGTAAATGTTTAATAGTAAGTTAATGATTGTAATAACTCCTTAAAATGACATACTAGGTATAAATAAGTACATATATATTGAAAATAGACAATATAAAAATATTTTAATAACATAATTACTATTGAAATATTAAGAAATAAAGAGTAAACTAATTGCCTGCAAATATGGATGAAAAGTGTAACCAACGTCTGGTAACCAATAATATTTTTTAAAATGCCAAGAACAACAAATTTGTCTGAAAACATGTTTGAATTGGGAAGGAAAGCATTGATTATATCTCATGGTAACAGACTTGTTTTTAAAGTTTTCTAATAATAAATTTTTCTACAGATCATATATCTTATTCATAATGAAAAAGATAATTAAAATTTAAAATGTTAAATATAAAATATTCATAATTATCATGTTACCTCCCATTCTCAGTGAAAAACGTGCAGTTGAACTACTTGCATGATTCTAAATAAATTCTTTTAAAAATTAATAGTTATAAGCTGACAACAATCATAAGTTGTAGTTCAGATTGACATATGGCACTGTTCATGTTGTAATTGCAGGTAATTGTTAAGTACAAAATTATCTCAATTTTGTATTCAGGCAGATGATGCCTGTATATTTGGAATGTCTACAATATGCCAGGTGTCCTACAAAACTCACAGCTGAATGATCACTTGAGCTTAGAACATTTGTTTATTGCACCATACATGTGTCGTACATGGTTTTACATGTGAAAAAAATACCATAACACACCAATACAACAGAAAACTTCATCCTTTGACAGATTATTTCATGGTATGAGTTTTTGGTTTTAGTTATTGTATTTTTAATATATTACATGAAAAAAGCAATTGCTATGTTAAGTGTCTTAAAATGTTGTTGAAAATTAAAATTTTTTTAGTAAAGGGGAAAATGCAATAATGAGTGCTAGAATGCTTATGTTATCTGGCCTTAATCATATTTTAAGGATTCCAAACTTTAGATCAGAACTAGATCAAATCAGATACAGGAGCTGAATATTTCAGATTATTAATCACATTAACTAGTTGCCCTGCAAATATGGACTACAAGTGTAGCCAACATCTAATAACTAGCAATATTGTCCAAATACCAAGTACCATTAATTATGTGCCTTAAATATAACTGGGACTAGCTACAATTGTTTTGTGTAATGTTAAGATAAAACATTCTGTATCGAAACCAAATGTTATTAAATACGTTGCCTATAAGTCAGTTTTCAAATACTGTGCTAGTTAACCATATTAGCTTCAAAGTCATTTCCGTTTAATGAGTTAATTTTACAAACTCTATGAAGTCATAAAATACACAATTCAGAATAAATGATATGAAGGCACAAACAAGAGCATTTTAGATGTAGCTGAGTGGCACAATTCTGTGATGAAACTGGCCTGTGTTCACATTTCTTGCACACTTATTTATCTGTATCACTTTTCATTGTCCTCACCCCTTCAAGAATGTCTTCACGAAAATCAACTTAATTTTCCAGTCTGCCCCATCTTCTTCCAGGGAGCTGTGATCAGGGTGCTGTGCAGATGTCTGAAATGAAGTTTATCTTTAACTTCCTCAAACAAATGCTCACAGAATTCTATGCCATTTGTCTAAGTTAGACACACTCTAAAAATATTTATGCTTTGCCAAAACATTACAGGATGTTTTACAACAAAAAAGTTTATATTCCCACAGAACTCTCATGCCATACTTTTTTGTTTACTGTTGAATCATTTAATCCTCTCTCCTTAAGTATCCTCCCTCTTGTTTTCATTCTTAGAGTGAAATAAGTAACTCAATAAGATTTGGAATCTATTTTCTCTTTTAATATTACTTTAAAGCTATATCTCCATTGCATCACAATCAGTATTAAAATAGAGATGCATAATATATAAAATTTGTTGTTTTATTTATTTTATTTATTTTGAGATGATGTCTGGCTCTGTTGCCCAGGCTGGAGTACAGTGGCACAGTCTCAGCTTGCTGAAACCTCCACCTCCCAGGCTCAAGCCCTCCTGCCACCTCAACCTCCCAAGTAGCTGGGACTACAGGTGTATGCCACCACACCCAGCTAGTTTTTGTAATTTTTGTAGAGGTGGGGTTTTACCAGGTAGCCCAGGCTGGTCTTGAACTCCTAAGCTCAAACCATCTGCCTCTCGGCCTCCCAAAGTGCTGGGATTACAAGCGTGAGCCACCATACCCAGAACGTTACATTGTTTTTAGTTAACCATTTCACTCATAAATGGGAATTTCAGGTTTTTCAAAATTTGTCTACTTTAAGTAAAGGTAAAATAACTATTTTTGTATATATCCTGAGATGGTGAGCGAAATATTTTATGATCCAGAACTTGTTGCTAGAACAAGCTAGTCACCCATTTCTCTGTATCCATTTCCTTCTAACAAGATATTCTGAAACATATATTAAATTTTTCCCTCAGATTTCTTAATTTCATGATGTTACCAAAGTCTTCCATAGTACTTACTATATAGTGTTTATATATTGCTATACCTACTTCTGTACACACGATAAATATTACCTCATCTTATTCTCATAAAGTCCTATGAGAATTGTTATCCTCATTTCTCAGATCAGGAAGTTGGGAGGTAGAGAGGTAAAGTAGCATGTCCAAGATCCTTGAACCAACTTGGTACCCCAAACCACCCAGTTCCGTTAGAGTAGGCTGACTCTTAGCATCAAATTCCTTAAGATTGGAGAGGATTTTTTGCTACTTGCCTTCTTCAGTATAAATTGATGGATACCACATTGACACTGTGTTTCCTTGACACTGTGTCAAGGAAAAATCCTCATAGAAAAACTAGAGAAAGGTAGCTAGAATTTTCTGCTCTGATACATAGTGACATTCATAGCCATGAACTGGTTCTTGTCCATGGAACATACTTAAGAAGGAGTCCCAACTCAATTCAGCAAAACGTTTGTTGAGCACCTGTTATATATAAGACACATTTAAGGCAGATCCAGACATGAAGTGCATGCAGTGCATGAAGCCAAATGTCTACCCATGAGCCAGCTCAGTGCCCTAAATAGTCTGCCCTATTTTAGCCAAACTTTGGGGAGGTGAGGATCTGAAAGACCAGAAGGTATTTTGTCCAGCATATTTGCAGCTCAACTTTCACCCTGAAGATCTTCAAGAGGGCAGAGCGGTCCTAGACCAGGGTCAAGAATTAGGTCCTAAGGAATGGGCTTTTCTAGAATCATTCTACATGGCGAATTCTGGAGTTATGTGGTCTGAGTGCCTCTCAGGGTGAGTTCTATACATGCCCTCTGTCAGCAACCTCATGTTCAGTGTGAGTTGCTGATTATTTTTGTACTGAAAGAAGGTTTGCTTAGGCCTCGTACTCTAAGTTTAATGTCGCAAATTTTAGGACAAAATCCAGCTTTAAACAGATTGCTGACTATTTAAGTGGAGAAGGTGGCTTAACTGGAACAAAAAAGAAAAACATTTCTAGATAGAAAAAAAAAATGTTGCAGAAGGGGAGCCGTTAGAGTGGGAGAAAAACGTATCTGTTGGAAAGTGCCAAGACACACAACTTGGGGAGAAAACATCTCCACCCAGCAGGAAACCCAGCTGACTTTTAAAAGTACCGCAGAAAAGGGGATGTTAGAAAACTCCTCAATGCATCATCTTAGCTAAGGACTTATAGAAGTTTAGGACCTGAGGAAATTCAGCCTGGAGGTTTTCATATTCTTGGTGACACTGTTTGAGTTCCTGTATGTTGACTGCCTGTGATAGCAAAACACCAACTCTGTTCTTTAAGACTTTTTTTTCCATGTATTGAGTGCCAGCAACATTAAGAACACTTTGAAGAAGAGCAGCTTTGCCCTGCTGTCTCTGCTCAGTTAGGTTTGGATTTAGGACAACAAAAGCAATCTATATTTTAAAGCCCAGACAGCTGAAGAACAGAGAAGAAATTCATGATAAAACACAGGGCTTTACTAATACTATGAATCCAGGATTGTTTTTGTTTGACTTAAATTGCTGTCAGTTTGACGAGTGTGGTGATGCTTTAGAAATTTCTGAAGGAGTCACAGAGAGTGGAAAGAAATCATTGAGAGAAAATATAAATGATCAATGGTAATCACTTACTGCAAAAATCAATGACTGATCCGTTATGCTAAGAATCTCTATGGTGCACCTTTGATTTGAATCTGTGATATTTCTCTATTCACTGTTTATTTTTGGATCACACACCATATTATGTTACATCTCTTGATATTAAATTATTCATCTGTAAAGTGGAATTAATATCCTACCTTGGTTGGTTATTGGGAGGATTAAATGAGGACCCAGAAGAAAACATTTGCACAATGTGAGACAGCAACCATTTCCTTCCCAGGATATCATAGTTTTGCCATCCTGCATTACTGCTGGACACACAAGACATTTTAGATAATATAATACATGTTTAGAAAAATAGCCAAAAAATTTGATTTTTGAAAATGTTTAAATAGAGCATTAAAGGTGGTCTTTTGTCCTAATCCATCACGCAACTTGAGTCTAAAGGCTTTAACACATGCTCCAAAAAGTTAACAAAAAGCTCATGTGAATTCAAAAATATTGAATATTCACAGGCTGTGACACATTGGAAACTGTTTCACACCTTTGCTGATGGGCATCTGTGTCACTAAATATGGCCTTATTCTATGCATTCTCTCTAGCTCTCTCTTCTCATTCATGGCCTGTATCTGACCCATGACTATCTATTTGTGGCTACCTTACATCTCACAGGATAGAGGACCTGAAATAGAAACAAAAGGACATAGTGGTTGAAAGCACCAAGATCACACATGGGATCATGACAGTTAAAGATGATAAGATCAAGGATGTAGCAAGGCACTTAGTCATAGGAAATAGGTGGAAGTAAGTGGCTATTGCAGGAAGAGAGAGGAAGCCGTAGATCAAGGAACATAAACATAAAAGGCAAAGATCTTACAAGAGTTGTCTGCATAAAAAACAAAGTATTCTAGATTTTTAAAAAATTAACATTATATAAGATGTGAAAAAATGCAGGAATGAATTAAAGAAAAAAAGGGAAAATACCGAACTATTCTATATTACGTATTCTTGATGAAAATGTTTCCTATCTTTTGCATGTCAATTACATTTTGATGATTTTAAATCTTACTAAATTTTCATGGGTCTCATGCTCTTTAAAGTATGTGTTTTGCAGAAAAGAACACATTATGAGCATAGACTCTACAAGTCAGGAATGCATATATTTAATCCTTCTTCATTTTTGAAGAATATTTGCCTTCCTCCTCAACCATTTTAGAATTGTAATTTTCTAAAAGGGGGTTTTCACTGGACAATGATTACTATTACTCAATTATATATTATTGAATTGATTAAAATTTATGGAAACAGGATTGACTAATGTTCCATTGTGAAAATCTAATACTATTTTTGTCCCTGATGTGGACACAGCTACAGTGCTATTTTTATTTTCATTGAAATGACCAATAAAATCAGAAAATTGAACTATAAGTAAAGTTCTGGCAGGTAGTGATCAATCTCAAGAAGGTCACCCCAACCACATCTGTTCTATCTCAGTTACAAAAAAAAAAAAAAAAACCTGCACAAATAGATGAATCCACCTAATATAAAATTAATTGGTGGACTGAAATCACCATGATTTGACTTCAAAATGGTAAAAATGGTTGTTCAAGGAGTCTTGCACTACATTAACCCAGTGGCAATATCAAAATTATAAGCCAATAATAGACTCAGTCATTGGTTTCAAAATACAAATAACTAGACAGATTTTTGATTTTAGGATATATATAGTTTTATTCTCTTGACATCAAAAGACTTGGAAGTTTACAACTTGGTTGTCGCATTTAAAGCCTGTATTTTTCTTTTTTTTAAGGTGGATCTTCTTGTTCCAACCAAAGTGACTGGCATCATTACACAAGGAGCTAAAGATTTTGGTCATGTACAGTTTGTTGGCTCCTACAAACTGGCTTACAGCAATGATGGAGAACACTGGACTGTATACCAGGATGAAAAGCAAAGAAAAGATAAGGTAAGTCAGCCAAATCGGTTTATAAAGTTCAGAAGTGGAGGATCAAATTACACCCAAGTTTGATTGAATTAACTGCTTATACATCTGTACTGAAAATAGTATCCATATATACTGAAAATATATGTTAAATAAAAAGCTTTAAAGAATAGTACTGTAAAGGGGTTGCAGTCTGGTATGCAATGGTGCAACCTAGAGGAAAAAAATTGCTTTACTGATAATATTTTTCATACTATTAATTGCCTAAGATCTGACTATCTAAGATTCACCTAATAGTTTATAAAGGTGATAGAATCTTGAATAGTTTCTCATAATACATATGTAAATAGTTATTGCTAGAATATATGCCACTGTCATTTTCATTATTAAAATAAATTCCTGATGTTAGATAAAATGTTCTTTGGAGAAAAATATTTCAAAGATTAATGAAATTATTTTTAAACATTTATATTTTCTTAATTATTGTAACAAGTAGGAATTTTAGAAATAGAACAATTTTGATTACACAGCTCAACAACAAAAAACTCAGATGTTTTTCTGCTCCGTTTCCTTCATTGTATTTTAATTCATAGGTTTGTTTTATTTTTCTTTTAAATTTATGATCTACTTTGAATTTTATATATACATACCTCTATACACACACACTGTACAAATCAATGCCATACAATTTTTATCTTTTTTAATGTTTAGCATTTTGAGCATCTTTTCATAGTATCTATTGGTTTCAGTATCTGTGAGACCCTGGAGAATGAAAGTGCTCAAGGCCTTATCAATGACTAATTGGGATCAGATGTTTAAATATGGCCTCAGTTGGATTAGTGAAATCAAGTTAATTCGTTGCTTAGAGTCACTGTGCAAGGAATGCTAGCTTTCTGAAGACATCAACAAAAACTCTCAGATGAAGGATTTGGAGGAGAATATAACACTGCTTTATACATGTTAAATATTTGAGTTAATAATTATTTTTATGTTATGTAATCCTTTTACTTCCTTATGGTTATTGCATTATTAACTGACAGAGGGGTTGAAACTATCTTTCTTTCTTCAAATATTCAAGGCAGAGAATTTATAAATTTCCCCAGAAACACTAGGGCTGTAATGGCTGTTTAAGTGATTCAACAGTCTACATTTAGTTCACACAAAATTTATTTTAGAAGAGATGTGTTTTTAGCTTTAGATTTGAAAAGCCACATCTAGTCACATGTTAACATCTCAGAACACACCCATGTAACATCTCAGGACACATGCACATTTCACATGTTAACATCTTAGAAATTGGTGTATCTTACATCACAATTTAATTGAGAGCACTTATTCTTTCGTAGATGAACATAAAATAATGGCATGATTTATAATCAATGACGTCTTAAACTGAATAAATATTAGATATTTTGTAAAATTATTTTCAAACTTATTTTGTGAGCTATAGACAAGTGTTTGCCATGATTTATTGCAAATAACTATTTCACTTCCTGTCTTTTACCTTTTACAGTAAGCATTCTGATTCAGTGTATGTTTCATAAGATGAATTTTTTTAAACTTCATAAGTTATACAGGCTTGAAATTAATTTTAAGACAGATGAGTATTTACTTATCCATGTGTAAGATTCAGTAAACAGCACGTCTATTATAGTGAAATCTTTATATAGATTAGTTTAGGGAAGAAGCATAAAGAAAATTATGGTTAAACCGTTAAACTGTTGAGATACTTTTTTGTCTCCATTTATGTAAAAAAGTGATTTCATATGTGAGTAATTTAATTTTTCTTATAGACTAGACATTTTCTTGTTAATGTGTTTTATTTCATTATCTCAATCTGAAACTTACATAAAATTTTTGTGTCGTTTGATAGAGTTACTCAGGTTTTCTATATCTTTGCTGATTTTCTGTCTACTTGTACTATCTGTTACTGAGAAAGGAATGTGGAAATTTTCAACTGTCATTATGGATTTGTCTCTTCTTGCCATTATATCAGTGTTTGCTTGATGTATTTTGAAGCTCTGTTGATATGTACATAAACAGATTTTTAATGTCCTTTTGATCAAATCAACCCTTTTTCATTAGAAAATGAACTTCTGTACCCCTGGTACTATTTTTTGCTCTGAAATCTATTTTGTGTGATATTAATAGATATCGATTAACTCCAGCTTTCTTTTTATGAATGCTACCTTAGCATATGATTTTTTAGTATTTTTTCATCCTTTTACTTTTAACCTATTTGTACTCAATATTTGAAAAGTATTCCTTCTATGCAGCATATAATTTGATCTTCTTTTGTCCAGTCTATCTCTGCTTTTCAAGTGGAGCATTTAAACAATTTATATTTGATGGGAGTATTAATGTAATTGGATTTAAATTTATCATCTTACTATTTAGTGCCTATTTGTCACATCTATTTTTGTTATTCCTATTTTTGCACTCTTTTAGATTAATCAAATTTTCAGTGATTCCATTTTAATCGTGTTTATTGAATCATCAGCCATAACGTTTTGCTATTTTTGTGATTGCTTCAGGATTTGTGATACATATTTTAAACTTTTGAAATCCACCTTCAAATGAATGTTAAGGCCCAGAAACTTACCTCCATAAACACAAGCAAAATAGATTATAGCTACATATTTAGGAACTATAATTATTATAACATACAATTTGGACATGACCAAAATAAATCTTTTTTAAATTGATGTATCATACTTGTGCATATTTGGGGTGCTACATATGATATTTTAATACATGCATACAGTGTGTAATGATCACATCAGCGTTATTGGGATATCCATCACCTCAAACATCGAACCAAAATAAATATTATTGTTAAGAAAAAATAGACTCTACTAGGCAAGTTGGAAAATTGTGAAAGTAGATTGATGCATACTATTTACTAAAAATAATGTGAGCTGGAATTCTCCTGTGAGACCATAAAGCACACTATTATTCGTATAATGTAAAATTTTTTAATGAAACCATTTTTATGTTATAAATGTATGATAATTGGCTAAACTTAGCCAATTTAACTGGTAGTTTTAAGAAGAAATCTAACCAGTTTGCTTTTAATATTGTAACTAATTAGGCATAATGAAGAAAAGCCTAAGATAAAAGCCTAAGTTTATTATTTACTATTGAAGAAGACAACTGACACCAATAAACTGTAGATAAAAATTCAGTAATTAGTATTATCATAAGGAAATCTTTTATGGGGAAGAAGGAATTACAGAGCATTAGGTCTCTCCATTTTTACATAGAAAAGAATTTTATAAAACAAATGAGAAAATGTATTGCCTAAGTTATTTAAACACTTGAAAATGTAGTCATTTTATATGTAAATATACATATATATCAATGAAATATGTTTTTGATAGGTATCAAAATAACTCTTTTGCTTTATTATTACTAGTTCTACTAGATATTTTATGTATCATTTCATACATCCTTTATAGATGTCCTCTTCTGTTTAAAAGGGCTCAATACTACTTAGCAATTAATTTTTTCTAACATTGAGTAAGCCATCTCCTATTGATTCTTAACATTATTTTTGTCTTGTTTTCCATGATTACTCTCCATAAGAGGAAAAAAAAGTCTTCAATATTTACAAGTGCCAATTCAACCACAAGCTTTCATCCAGACAAATATAATAGATGAATTGAATGTTTCAGGGCAAAACATGTGTCTGTGAGATGTTTTATAGATGCACTTTTCAAACAGAAATATGTATAAACAAAAGCTTCTAAGTCTTCTTTTGTGCTGTTTGTTTTTATTGACTGCTTGCTTTAATAGATTTTTGGAGGGTGGGTGTGGAAGTCTAATGTAGATCCAGACACAAGATTACTTCAGAAAAGTAATCTGAAAATAAATGCAGTTTTCTAGGTTTACAGTAAGTGGTATAAAACTCGAAAAATGTATCAATGGCCTTTTTGTTTTTTATTAATCAGAGTGACTAAGCCTCAGAAAAGCAATGCCGTATATATATATACGTATATATATTATATGTATATAATGTATATATATATATACACACCCACACACACACAGGAGTATTTAAATATATGTAATAAATATACATGTGTACACACACATGCCAAAAGTCAACTGAAGAAAAATAATACTCTGTTCTCCTAATTGAGATGTCAGTTTTTGAATACCCTCCTATAGCATTCACAAGAATTGCAGTTTACTTTAGTATTGTTTTTTAGCTAATTTCCACATTAAATCTCTTGTAATTGAGCCTGTGATGACACTCTCATTACAGTCCATACATTTTTATTTTCCCCTTACTAGTCTACAGCATTTTCTAACATTTAACTAACTTTTATATTTCTCTACAGCATTAATTCAGGTACATTTTTATTTGAAAGTCAAATGTTCCTTTGCTCTTATGAAAGTGACATTTGTTTTATACACTTGGAGCTGTTTTTTACTGCATTTAGCAGGAAAACTGCAAAACTTGACAAACACTTTCAGTATTTAATTTTTCAGGTTATAAGCCAAAGTAAAGCAATAATAAATTTCAGGAAGAGTACTTATATGGAAAAATTAGAAATAAAAATGGGTTTTCTCATCCAGTATATTAGTCATAACATCGTAGTGTTTAAATAAGTCTGAATTCACAGCATAGGAGCTTTCTTTTTTCAGGAATAAAGAAGCTGGTAATACTCTATTTCATCTCCCTCCCTAAAATTATCCAGGGTTTTGTAAAAGCATAAGTTGAAAAGTTGAAACTTTACCTGGATTTTCCAAAACAGAAAACAAAATCCCCTGTTTCCAATAATACTTTCTTGGTCCTTAAAGAGGAATCACACGTATATTCATCAAGAAATAAACTGCAATATCTTGGTGAACTCTCTAATTCAGTAGTTACCATAATTGTCTGATTATGGCACTCATGAGGAGAGCTTGTTTAAAAATACATATTTCTGGGCCCTGCTTCAGACTCTCT
This sequence comes from Homo sapiens, assembly GCF_000001405.40. Lineage (NCBI taxonomy): Eukaryota > Metazoa > Chordata > Mammalia > Primates > Hominidae > Homo > Homo sapiens. Next base: position 83,958,274 of record NC_000005.10, on the reverse strand, counting down.
GGAGATGAGCTGGAAATCTAAATGTTTACAGAGGCCCCAGCTAATAATAAGCAAGTGTGTGAAAAATGGCTAATTGATGCCAAAAACAAAATTAAATTTTTGAAACTAAGTGTAGTTTTCTGTTTTTCTAGTGAGAATGGAATTTATTATTATTCTTTAGGACTTTGGCCTCTAATTGGTCAGAGGAAGTCAATATGAATCAATGTTTCTAAAAATAAGATTAAATTTTAATAAGTTTGCCAATTCCCTTATGAAAATCACAAAGTAAACACTAGCTTTAAACAAATTTTAAATTGAAATAATATATTTAAGTAGCTTAGGATGCAGATTAGATGGGGGGATCATCTAGAAGGAGGTGAAATTTATATTCATCCAACTGTGTATTCAGTTGGCAGATTCCATGTGAGAAAAAAATCTGAATATGACACAGTCTCCCAGTCTAATGAGAAGCTCAGTAAAGGTGGAAAAATTTTGATTTAATCCGTTTATTTGGGAAAGTCAAAATATAACCTACTAGGTATATTATTTGATAAAACAACTCTAGGGAAGAAGTAGCACATAGATTATGTCAGTTTCATAAAAGTCCATCACTCTCCAATAGAAGAAAAGAGTCCCTGGTCCTTTTCAACCTCCTTCCCTTTCTCAACATGGGTGTGAAAAATAGAAGCAGCAATATCATCAGTCCCCATTAATAAAGCTGCCAGCCATGGTCTGCATTGAAGGATATATTCAAATTCAACAGTAATTACAGATGTCACAGAGCATCCTGTCATTTCTGCTGAAGTGAGTAGTTTTGGAGAGCTGAAATTAAATTTGAATGTTTAATACCTTGAAAGTCCAACTCATGGGTAAGGCAGAGGTCAGATGAGTAGTCAATAATACTCATGCTGTTCTTTTGAAATTTGATCTGGGTGAGAAACTTAGAACCTGAAGAATCCCTTAGGGAGTAAATAAAATGGAATTGTCAGTGGCAATCACAGAGGAAGATGATAGCAGGGGGAAAAGCAAAGGGAGTGAATTGTCTTTCAAGAGGGAGCAGCTGCATGTTTCTGAGCAGCAGGATCAAGGACGGTTTCACTCCATATTGCATGGAGACCATTAGTTTCATCCATTCAGAGTCCTGTTACTCTTTTCAAATAAGGCAGAGAAGGAAGGAACGGAGGCTGCTTTCCAAAAAGCAATTTCCAAAAAATACATGACTTTATACAAAACACTAGGATTCAGTAATAGCAAGTGAAGTGTGCCCCTACATGATAGAAATTCATGTAGTCACTTTATTTTACTTATTCAGTGGCTGAGTGACTTAATTGAAACTAAAGTTAAGAAGACCATTATATTATTTCAAATCGTCTAAAAATAAGAACATTGTTATTTATTTATTTATTTTAATTTGCATATTTTTAACTTGTGTGTGTACATAGACAGGTATGTATATTTATGGGGTACATGAGATGTTTTAATACAGGCATGCAATGTGTAATAAGCACATCATGGATATTGTTATTTAAATAAATACCATTTGGTATCAACTGTTATTCAGAAGTTTCTCTGCTTTTCTACTTGTAATTTAATATTATGAGACCTGACTAGGATATGTGCTGGTATGCCCAAAATAGAATGGGATGCTTGTAAATTTTGCTAAGGCCTCTGACCAAGAATGAAATGTATCAGGAAATATCTAAGTACAGAATAATTGACTTAGCAAAGTGAAAGTGGTTTGCAGGCCTAGATCTGCCTGCTGAGTTGGGAAAGGACAATCTAGTTAAATAAACTGAATTCAGAAAGCAGCATATTGTCATCAATGAGTAGTGTGATAGCAGTTGTTAAGGTACACAGAGAACATAATAGGGACCCACTTATCAGAATCAGTTGTGAAGTGGAGGCCTGGGGTCAAAAACAAGACAGAAAAAAATGGATGCAAGTCCACAAGCAAATAGCCCTGGGTCTCCTAAAAAAGTATTATGCTTCCATTTCCATGTTTAACATAAGCTGCAAGTGTCCTACCTAGATCCAAGAACAACTAAGATGTTTGTTCTTGGATGCAGGGTAAAGAAGGGTTTAAGAGCAGGAAAGGAAGGGGACAACAGGAGGTGCGGCTTATGGGATAGAGATGAGCAGAGAGAGGGCTAGTGCCCAATGTAAGTGCAACTGTAGAATGGAACAACTAGCTACATGCTGGAAATGAAAGACAAACCAGAGTGACTCATTAGCCACAGGAACAACCAGAAGCCATTCTGTCTGAAGGAGCTCAGTGATTTTTTAAGAAGTCATTCAGTTTATTTGGAAACATCAATTGAAAGCCAGTTGTCCTTCTTTAAGGATTAATTTTGAGGTTTCTAAGAAAATCCTTTGTATATTAGTTCACATTTTCTAATATTAAACACTGTCAATGTGAAATATGCAGTTAATTTTGGACAATGAATCATTTACTTTTCTTGTTGGCATTTGGATGTTTTAACCTTCATCGTTAAAAGACAAAAGAGCAAAAGCAGAAAGCTGTCTAACAACAATTAGGTGGTAGAAACAAATATACATCAGGCAGAAAATTCATAAAATTCACCAATATTAGGGTGGGTTGGGGGCAAGGAGCAGGAAGAATGTCCCTACTGGTGTGACTGTTATTTAATGACAGATAACCACCTAGTACAGATGCTATGAAACATCGTTCTCAATAAATTTATGGAGAAAGCAGAAAACAAGTCAGGATAATATGATAATAAGGAGTAAATACATGCTTATTGTTTTTTCTTGCTAATTATCTTTTTTCTCCAAAACTCAGAGTTACATTTTCAGGGAGTTTGATAAACTCCCTTAAAGTTTGAAACAATATAGTTTTTCTAGTTAGCACGTTTCTGCAAAAAAGGAAAAAATATGTGTGAAAACATAAGGAATATGTTACATAGCAGTATTATCAAAGTAAAATATTCATAAATGAAAAATAATTTAAATGTTGTTTATTATTACATGCTTTATCACCTTACTTTTCCCAGTGCTCAAATGCCAAAAAAGTTAAAATCTTCCTATTTTTATCTTCTCAATCTTCCACCACTCATCAGAAATCACTAAAAACGTGTACACTTAAAATTCTGAATATCTCATGTTTGTGTGTGACTTATTTATTAATAGACCTAATTGCATAATGACAATATTTCTCAGTGAAAAAAGTTACTCATGCTTTTATTTAAGTCATTCTTATACAACTACTAAGAAAAATCATCAAGTGTTAGCCCAACTGTGACTCTATGCATTGATTAAAAATGCTAACATGTTAAAAATATTGATTAGCGATTAGCTCCCCAGTAGAATGATCAAGACTATCAAACTTTAATAAATTGTTTAAAATTCAGTGATGTTATCATTCATTAAGAGGTAGTGATGAACCTGATGAAAGCAGGAGATGTTAGCTGAGAGAAAATTAGCATTTTGAATAGAAAAAACTACGATGCTATTTTAGGTGAATCTGATAGTTTTCTTTCCTACTAGGAAAACAAGTACTCGATCAATCTGAGTATGATAGAAACTATGTCATTATTTTGATAGTTTAAGTATGCAGTAACCATTGACTAGTGGTGTTAGTCCATTTTGTGTTACGATTAAGGAATGCCTAAGACTGGGTAATTTATAAAGAAAGGAGGTTTATTTGGCTCATGGTTCTACAGGCTGTGCAAGAATGGCAACAGAATCTGCTTGGCTTCTGGTGAGGCATCAGGAAGCTTTTTTTACTCATGATGGAAGTCAAGGAGGGAGAAGGCTCATCACGTGGCAAGAGAGGGAGCAAGAGAGAGAGGATAAGGTGACACATTATTTTTTAACAACCAGCTCTTCTGTGAACTAATAGAGCAAGAACTCATTCAATACAATAGGGAGGGCACCAAGCCATACAAGAGGGATCTGCCCCCATGACCCAGCACCTCCCCCTAGGCTACAGCTCCAACATTGAGGATCGCATTTTGACATGAGATTTGGAGGGGACAAATATCCAAACTATATCAATTAGAATATAGCAAAAATTTCAACCCATTTTATTTCTAAATAATCACCAAACAACTAATATTTTGATTGTTTATTATATGATAAAAAAAAATGCTCAAGGACTTTAGTTCTACATGATACATATTGCCATTTTTACTATCCACCATCACACCATCAGCTGCAATATGTTAAGCAATTAAAAGTCTCCCCCTTAACAGTTTCACAATGTCTTAATTAATGTGGCAGTATTTTTCTACTTTTTCACAGTTTAAATCTGAAAAAGAACAAATGATACCTGTCATATATCCATGTTTATGGGAAACTATAAAAAGATTTCTGAATCTGCCACTCCCTATAAAGTTAATCATTTGGCAATGATTTTTACGTAGTTCCTTTGGTTGAATCTCAAAGAGAAAGTGTGTTAATATGAATAGAGCACTCTTGGGACAAATACACCTGTAATAAGCCGTGTGGGGACACTTATTACAGAGGCAACACATTTCTCATCATCAAAAAACTTCTGGCATAATTTGAGACACAAAACTGCTTAAAAAATAACTTTAACCAAAGATGGATTCAGTTATTATACCTGTGTGAAGAGGCAGTCCTCTCGGTTTTTCTGAAGCTGTGAGCAGAGGACCAAACTCAGAAAACTGAACACAAGAACTAATTTCCTCATTTCCAGTAAAGTTAGAAACAACATCAATTTTGAACAGATAAATGAAATGTCTGATATTTAATAATAATTAAAGGAAGACATTCCTCATATATGAGTGAAAATAATATAACTTTTACATAACAAAATTGCACTTTTATTTCTTTTCTTCTTTTTGGTAATACCCCAATAGCCATAAGTAATAGCAAAGTTTACTTTTCTCTTCTGAGATCAAGCATATTTTAATAATAATATGCCCTCAACTCATTAAGAAAAGAAAAAAGACCCAAAATTTAGCTTATCCCAAAGAAGAGTTAGTGACTGCTCAGCTTAGGTCTAGCATTCCTCATGTTCTTCATATAGTGTTGCCAGATTTGGCAAATAAAAATACTGACACCTAGTTAAACTTAAATTCAGATAAATGATACATTCTTTAGTATAAGTATATTCAAAATATTTGATCTTGCAACCTTGTTTCCAGTTAAGATCTTCTATGTCTTGTAGCTGGACCAGATGGTCTACTGAGGATACTCAGGAGAGAGGATAAAGGAGAATGACTACTTTCTGTGCCTAGGCAATACATGCTTACGCTCACACCTAGGCACCCTGCTTCAGCTGTACGATTCCACTTTGCCACCCCTGCATCCATCTCCAGGATTGTCTCCTCTCCCTAATACTCTTTTCCCCTCATCATGAGTCTGGCTTAGAAGTCACATGGCTGAGTGCTTAAATCACTTCTGTGTTCATACATAGAGCTCGATATTAAGTCATTTCTGACAAGGATAGGGTGAAACTCTTCAATGAGACTTGAAGTGAGGAAAAGTCTCCTAATGCGGGAAGAATTACCAAATACACCAATTTCTCTACTGCCACATCATTTATATATCTACCATGAAGGGTAGAGTCAGGGGTAGAGTCTCAAATTGTTCTGATGAGATGGAAAATACATAGTGTGATTTCAGATGAGAGTTTGAGAGATGAGTTTTGAGCTTCAATAGAGAGGCAAGTTGCTCTGTACTTTTATAGAAAAGAGGAAAGGCATTTCTACATTTCTCATGTTCTACTAAAAAGAAAAAAGTAGATGCCCTTACTTTCCAACTATTCCTGGTAATATCTCCTGGAGATGTCTTTGAAAAGCAGATGGTTTCCCAATTCTACTTTTTCTGTGGGAATATTTCTTATGGCAGTCAAAATCTGAGTAGTGGAAGGCAGATAGTTTAAATATATAGCCACAGTTTAGAATGGCATATTTTATGTTTCATAAATCTTTATAGGCAATCATCCTATGTGATATATTTCCTAAGATATTGTCATTACTTAAGGAGACTTTCATCATAAAAGAAGTTAAATATGGTGGTGTATCCTACCTACTGGCTTTTAGACTCTACATTCTAAATGACAGCAAGCTTGGGGAAAGGAAGGTAACAGTCAAGGAGGATGGACTCTTTTGCTTTGATTTTTCACTACGTCTTTTTCCCAAGGTCAAGACCTAATAACAAAAGGTAACATGAACTTCTTAGTGAGGCTCTTGGGGCTCTTTCTAAAGAGCTACCAGCTCTCCAGCTACTTAAAGCCAAAGTTATGCAAGAAAACAGTCCGTAGAATGAATGGAGATGGCCACTCTGCCCCAGTCCCTTTGGTCTCTCATCGGGCTGACTGGGATGTTGGCAATTCCTAGCTCAACTTGTCACTCTCACAGTGGACTAGGGAATCACAAGTATTGCCTATGCCAGCTTGCCAGTAATAGACAAGTTGATACTACTGGGCAGAATAGGATTCCCTAATCCCATATCTTTTTAGGAGCAGTTGAACTCTTCTACGAAAAGCCAGAAGTTAAATGTTCTAAAAAAAATACTATCAAAAATGTGCTATTTCCTCCTCTTTTCCAATACTCTCAAATTCCAGAGGATCTAAGAAATAATGAATTTTAGAAAGCTATCACACAGTTCTCTTTCCCAATGAAGAAATATGTTCCCAAACCAGCTTTCATGTCAACTACATGGAAACCAAAGAGAATCTGGCAATTTGAGAAGCAATGAAGGGCCGGAAATGTGGACTTTTATTGCCAGGGTAGGGAAAAAAACACCTTTGCCTATGTTTTGGCCAATTATTATTGGAATCTTTCATTTGTGCATTTTCAGAAAAAAAAAATCTAACAGAAGGAGCAGTAGAGTGCAAATCATGCTACAAGAATTGTAAGTGAACATCAAATTTGTGGTGTAGTAAAGAATTTCTTGGGCTATAATCAGAGATTTATATACATGAGGAACATGAAGCAAAGCCAGATTCATTCAGTAAAGTATAGTATTTCTTGAAGCCAAAAATCTACTTTTTTACATAGTTACAATAGAAAGCAAACTTTAGAGCCACAAGAAATTTCTTGAGAGCAACAATGGGAATGGAAATAATTTTTTTAGAGAACCCATATATTCATTTTAATGGTTTAAATGGATCATGCCCGTGTGAAAGAGAGACTATGGAACCTGCCCCATGTTTTGTTTTTCACTTCTCCCATCAAGCAAAAATGTTCTATAATTAGATTTTTGAAGTTAAATAAGCAGTTTGAAAGCCTCAGGTAGTTTCATGGAGAAATCTTGGGAAGCAAAGAAGTCTCTGAAGCAAACAGGGTCTAGATTTTTCAAAGGGTTTATGGAACAAAACATCATTTTAAAAAGAACATAGATAAAATTAATATCCAATATGAATTATGGTGCAGAATTATTATATATATGACCATGCACGATAGCTTTAAGAAAATCTGACTGCAGTTTCTTAAGGGATTTCAAAAGAAACCCAAGTAGATGGACAAAGTAGTATTTCTCAAAGGACCTATAAGCTTTTATGGAAATGATATTAAAGAAATACAGGAGAATAAAGAAGTTGGATTTTTTGTTACTGAAATATGCAAGAGGACAAGTAACACTGGTTGTTTGATATGCTTATTAGGTTTATGCCCATGAGAATAAATATCATCCAGAAATTGAAAATAAGAACAGCAAGTAAAATAGAGAGAGTAGAACCTAACAGTAGAAAGTTTAGAAAGTATACTTATGGGCCAAAATAAACAAATTTCAATGGATTGTCCTTTGAGGATTTATTCAAAGAATCAGAATAGAAAGTAAGTTCACAATCAACTTTAAAGCCTGAATGTCTGTCACACGCTGGCGCATGATGTTGGGGAAGTTGTAGATACAACCCTTTCAGACAATTGAGGTTCCTTTTCCAACTGTCAATGTTTCAGACAACAAAACTTAGATGAAACCTGTAGCCCTTCAATACCAATTACTCATCACAAATTCAGGATTCCCTAAACCCACCCTCACTTTTGACATCAATTGCACATTCACAGTTCCCCAAGATCATTCTCAGGTTTGATAATTCAATAGAAAAACTCACAAACACAACTAAAATTATCATACAGTTATCGTTTATCACGATGAAAGGATATGGATACAGATCATCTAAGGGAAGAGACATATGGGGCAGAGTCCAGGAGAGTCCAGGAATGAGCTTTCAGTTGTCTTGGAGACTTCTGGAGAGTAGTAAGTTCTCTCAGCAATGTTACGTGACAGTAAGCCCAGAGTATTGCCAACTAGGAAGCTCACCTTAGCGTTGGTATTCAGAGTTTTTGTGGAAGCTCCTACATTTAGACATGGTTGACCATCTGTATGGCTAACCTTAGTTTCCTCCTTTTCAGTGGTCAAGCTGACCTGAAGACCCCACTGTAAACCACAATGTTAGCATAGGCTATCTGGTGTGGCCCAGAGCCCCCTGGGAAACAAAAATACTCTTCTCAGACAGGCCATTCCAAGGGCTTAGAGATTACCTTCAAGTTGCTGAGGGTGAAAAACAGACTCCTCCTTGGGTAAGGTTAACATCTACTGCACACTCGTATTACACACGGTTTTGTAGACTGTACACTGATCACTGGAATGACATGTGTCTGTAAACGCTATGCTTACACTAGATTTGACACATCCTAAACTCTGCAGAAGAACTGTTCAATAGAAAAAAGATATGATGGTCAGCAATTTACTTCAAGATAGTACACACAAGCAAACTCAAGATTAAGATGTGTCTAGATATGTTTCTTGCAAAGAAGACAAGATGATCAACTCCTTTTGGATACAGAAAAATAAAGTGATTGTCTAATATGTTACAATTAGTGGTTGATATGAAAACAAGTCCTCTTCGCATTTGATCTCTTATCTGTAGATTACACACATTATATTTTCACAAACTGGGACATGTAACTTTATCATTGTCTTTGGCTCTACTTTAAGGTCTTATGTATACATTTTGGTTGAATTTTTTTTCATTTGACTTTCACCTGCTGATAAATTGTTTCGGTTAGTTATGACCTTATTTCAGCTTTGGAGGGTAATGGTTCCACTCAGGATGCTATGGGATGGAAGACACTGTGGTAGCTCTCTGTTCCTTTCTGTCAATGACAATTTGTGCTGTAGTGTTGTTGGGCTGCCCTGTAGTGAAGGCTGATCCCCCAGCTCATTCTGCAGACTGATGATCAATATAGACACTTATTAACAAAGTCTACTGGCTCCAACAGAAACCCCTACTTTTTTGGTGACCCTCTTAGAATATAATTCTCAATATCACTATTTTCCAAAGAAACATTTCTTAGAATATTGAAATTTATCTGGAAATGAATTTCTTGTTTCCTTATTACATCCGGAAGAATGTACTCATATTGAGGCTAATTTTGTTACAGAGTTTCATTGGTTTAGTGGAATTGATTGCAGAGAAAAACATCAAGAATAATATACTAGCCATTCAATCATGAAATGGTTTCAGGATGCTGGTAAATTTTCCTAGAAAATTGAATTCACAGAATGATAGCTGCAGTCTATTTTGGCTAAAAGAATTAAACTTTGGTTTCAGACTTTTTATAGCCAATCACTTATAGAAGTTTCATACATGCAAAGCTTCCAATAAGATTTGTTTAATATGATATAGATGTATACCACTAACTAAAATGTTTAAAAATAATTTTCTATATATTTTGATATTTTTTTCCTTTTTAATAAAAAAAATTTGATTTTTGGAATGCTTGCATATAGGGCAAAGTAGAACATAAATTTTAGATTATCCTAAAATATTACTGAAAATCTAGCCCTAGAATTAGAAACAAAGAAAGCTCTTTCCCAAACTGTTCAAATGGAAAAATGTTATGTTTGACGTGATTCATGCATACTAATTCCGTGAAAATTTTCATAAGACTTTACATCACTTAAAGCGTTGATTCAAGTTGTAACTCTGAAATTTTTGACAGTCAAAAAAATTGAAGTAATGTTGACACTAAGTATATAAAAATAAATTTTATGATCCTGAACTATAAATTAATAAGCATCTGTCCCTTATGTCAGCCACAAAAATCAGAATTATATACTTATATAATATATAAATGGTTGCTTTATAAAACAGATACAAGTAAAAAAAATTGGAAAACCCTCACTGAGGAGAAATTATGAAAATATCCAAAATCTATTTGACCATAAATCAATCAACTATAACCCAAAATGCAATATAATTATTCTACATTTTAGACTGCATTGATAGAAATATTGCATCTACAACAAAGGCGCACTCTATCTTTTGAGTTATTCACAGTATGTCTACATTCTGTGTCCCAATAAATACCACGCTTTCACTGAGCCATAGTTAAAACAGATGTTAGTCAATGGAATGCAATCAAGATTATAAGTCTGAAAATCATGCAACATGAGGAACTTTTTAAGGAACTATGAATGTTTAGCCTAGAGCGCTGAAGTTGAGTTTTTGAGAGGTTTGTGTCAATTATTGTTAAGTATGTCAAAAGTTCTTTTGATGAGCTAAGTTTGTTCTATATTCATTGAGAATTAAGCACTAGATTCAATAGACTGAAGTGAGAGATACACATTTTAGTCTTCTAAAAAGATAGACTTTCAAACTGTCTAAATACATACCTGTCCTATTGTATTGAGGCATGCCATGAATAGGCTGAAAGTTCCATGTTAGAAATATTAGAGGGAAAAGTTATTGATAGCAGATCTCTGAGTTCTCTTCCAGATCTCAGATTCTTTCATTATATGGGTAGAATTAGATAAAAACAGGGTTTCTGAGGATCAGAGCTACCAAAGACTGTTCTTATTTAACTTCTCCATTAGTGCTCTGGATGAAAGCTCAAAGGATTGAAATTATGTATGTTAAATAAAGAATTCTGAGCTTTCAGCCCAGCACCTCTGCACACACACACACACACACACACACACACACACACAGACACAGACACAGACACATACATGCTGCCCTAGGAAAATGGATCTTTACCTTTGTCCTCTATCCCTTAAGAACAGCAGGTCAGTGTACAGATACAGTCAGTAAGGCCAGTGGTATGCTTGATACCATAAACAAAGCAAATACAATCAATAGAAAAAACTTTAGAAAGTCTCACTCAACCTTTATATTTCCACAATATCTGAAATCCCAGATGCGGTTCGACTATAGTCTCCAAATAGCAGAAGAAAAATAATGAAATCTATAAGGGGGCAACAAAAACCCAGAGGGATGAAGTGATGGTCACTTGAAATCTTAATAAAATACTGGTGTTTAATACTGATGTAAAATGCTGATGTTTAGCCATAGGGAATCTATCTAAAAATGCTTAGAACCACTCGCTATTTGAATGATGTGAACAGCAATTCCAAAAAGTTAGAACAATGGTAATCTCTTTAAAACTTTTAATCAGTTAAGTTTAGGACAAATGAAAAGAAGCACATTTTTACAAACTAGATAATTTTCTAAAGAAATCATATGTGCAAGAAGTCCCCAAGGGATTCTTTGATATTTAGAGTCCTATTCGATGACTGCTAAAAGAAACTGAAATATGCCCCACCTCTCTGACTACATCGTGGAGGATAATGTTACTTTGTTCCATGATCCCTGGAGGCCTCCTATTGATGTCTATACCGGCCTGAATAGACCGTAGTCCTAACAAAGAATGGTAGCTCGTCTTATAAAAAATGTATTAATGCTGCTAGAAACAAGATTTTATTGTTTTATTTTATCTGATATTCTCTCCGTGCTGAGATTTGAATCCTCTGAAGAATCTGATTTGTATTTTCAACCAGCATCACAAGAGAGTTAACCTTAGGAAAAAGAAAATCAAGATAGCTACATTGAGGGAGTTGTATTTTTCTTTCTCTTATCTTCTCTTAGGTTGTAATTATGGAAGCTTCTGCAAAGTACCTTGAGTGTTTTTTGATCAAGGCCCCATATGTTAGAAAAAGCCTGAGAGACCTCTAAGCAATATCATGTTTGAATATATCAGCAAATTTGTGATCAGCCAATTAGCCTCCTTCCTGAACTGGAACTTGTGCATAGTTTTTCTAAAAAATTCTAAATTGAACTGTGTCTTTCTCATGTAAAATATTTTCACTCCTATATAGAGATTTAATGTTCTCTATCAGTCTTTTCAGACTTCAGTTTTAGTTCAGATGCTTATGTCTCTAAAATGTGCCTGTGAAAGCACTTTCTAGAAATCTTAGAGATTTTATGAAGTTAACTAAAAATACTGTGTTTGCATTCCTTTGCAAGGTGAAATATTTAGGTGGCATTCTTAAGCAGGGGCTTCCTAGTGCTTGAGATAAGAAAACAGCACATGTGCCACATGTTTACACAACAAGTACAAAATATCATCCTGGAATTAGCAAGTGGGTGCTTTGTGTTCTGTACGTGTCATTACTGAGAGGCCTCTGAAAATAAAAATATATTTTCAGTACTTTGAGGCTGTAAATTCTGTGATTCTAGTATAGATTTCGGCTGTTTTTCTGTGAACGTTATTGTTTTATTAATCATCCTGTTTCGTGAAACTTCACTTTTTTTAAGTGAACATGCAAATATCCATGACTTTCACATATTAAATCAGAAATTTCATAGTTGTTTTCAGTTCCAGAGCTGATATAGTTTCTCTGTATGTATTCTTCATTATAAAGAAATAAGTATAATTAATAATTCAACTAATACTTTCTGGGTTGATAGTTCGCATCAAAACCTGTGCTGGAGAGCAGACACTTAAGAGAAAATTGTTTCTTTCTGTATTTCCTTCCCAAGAAGTGGTATAAAACTATATTTCGGGCTGTTATAAATCTTGCAATGAAAGTTAATGAATTTAAACTCTATTATCCCAGAGATATACATTAAGTTCACTAGCAGGGCTACAAAATTGGATTTTAGATTCCGTATTAAATTGTAATACCACAATCTCAGTGAAATATTTGAATCCAACATCATATGTCAGAGAGGATGTCAGTAAACCAGGGCTTATTTTCTGCTGTTGCAGTAGCAACAGTCTCTCAAGATTTTTGGTGAGTGTTTATGATATGTCCTGTACCTGTGAGTTTTGCTAACAGAGACATTGTAACATAGTAGTAGCACATTTCAGTCCAGAATGAATTATTCCTTTGTGCAAGACAGGGCATTACTAAGCATAAAATGCCTGCTAAATGAATATGAATTTAGATATGCCAGCAGAACCAGCAGAGAGACTTTTCAGTCTTGTCTATTGCTCCTATTAATCAGTGCCGTACTGCCTAATGCTTTTGAGGAGAATATGATTTTTTTCTTTCCAGGAGAACATTTGTGGCCGTATAAGACTGAACCAATCTAGCCTAGAAGGCTTTTAAAACATTCCCTTTAATTTCAGAATGCTGAAAGATGTGGGTTAAGTATCCTGTCATGTGATGATGGAGTTTGGTTGTTTTTTGTTTTCTACTTTAAGGATTTTATCTTCAGGTGTCTCTGGCCACATAGTTATGTTTTGATGCCAAACAAGAAAGAAATTTGATGTCAAACAAGAAAGAAAATTATCTTCTAATTATAAGATGCTTCATAAAGCAAAAACAGAAAGCGTTGAAGAGATTTTTACTCTAAAAATTTAAACTAAATCTAAAAATCTAAACTAAATCTAAATTTTTAAAAATGTAGATATAAAATAGTTAGAAATCACTTTAATAAGAAATGTTCAGAATCTATAAGAAAAAAAGGATAAAATCTTCAGATAAAGACTAAATAATATAAATACCTCAGTTTACCCCAACATAATTTATAATTTAATGCCATTCCTATCAGGGACCCAGTGTTTTAAATTTGTTTTGTTTTCTGAAGCAGACATTTGTCCAAGTTATTATGAAAGTCTTTTGGGGAAGAGCAAGTGGCCATAGTAATAGTAAAGCTCCAAAAAAAAAAAAAAAAAAGCATTTTTACAAAAGAAGAAAGAAGAATAGACGTGCAATGCAAAGGGTCAGGATATTATAAGTCATATTCATCCCAATAGTATTGTATGGATCCAGGAATTAATAGATGAAGCCAAAAAAGAAGAGAAAAACAGTTCAAAAACAGCATTGATTGTGTTGTCTCATTTGGAGATGGGCTAGTTTTATTCTCTATGTGAGAAGAAGTGGGCAAAAGGCACTGTGATAGAGGCCGTTAGTGCTCACCAGATAGCCTTGTGCTTCTCTCCAGTGCCCAGCCTCCTTTGCTGTTAGGCTGGAGTCATATAATTAGGTAAGGTGAAACAGATATATACAGAAGTGATATAAGCTGCTTCCATGCTTGTTCTCTTAAACACTCTGCACAGTCTGCTAACTCTCCCTCCCCTTGCCCCTTGTGAATGTGGAGGCCGCCTGCTCCAGATGATAGCTGTACTTTGCAAGCAGCTTGGATCTCTGAGTCACCCCGTGGAAGAGAGCATCTTCAGCAAGCTACATGACTAACGTCAGCCTGTGACATAAGCAAAAAATGAATACCTGTTGTATTTTTTTTAATTGAGAGAAACAAGTAGAGGAAAATGATAGACCTATGAATGTCTGCATTAAACAATAAAGGTTTAACTCTTTAAACATTAATTGACCATTTAATTTAAAATAATTATTATTAAAAAGAAGCTGCAATATATTTTGAAGAAAAGAAAATGAATAGTTATCAAATATCATGTTTGGGGAAAATGTTCCAAACAGGAACATAAAAATAATTTCAAAGAAAGAAGGCTGTGTGACTGACATTTTTCTGCTCTTCTTTATTAGGTTTTCCAGGGAAATTTTGACAATGACACTCACAGAAAAAATGTCATCGACCCTCCCATCTATGCACGACACATAAGAATCCTTCCTTGGTCCTGGTACGGGAGGATCACATTGCGGTCAGAGCTGCTGGGCTGCACAGAGGAGGAATGAGGGGAGGCTACATTTCACAACCCTCTTCCCTATTTCCCTAAAAGTATCTCCATGGAATGAACTGTGCAAAATCTGTAGGAAACTGAATGGTTTTTTTTTTTTTTTCATGAAAAAGTGCTCAAATTATGGTAGGCAACTAACGGTGTTTTTAAGGGGGTCTAAGCCTGCCTTTTCAATGATTTAATTTGATTTTATTTTATCCGTCAAATCTCTTAAGTAACAACACATTAAGTGTGAATTACTTTTCTCTCATTGTTTCCTGAATTATTCGCATTGGTAGAAATATATTAGGGAAAGAAAGTAGCCTTCTTTTTATAGCAAGAGTAAAAAAGTCTCAAAGTCATCAAATAAGAGCAAGAGTTGATAGAGCTTTTACAATCAATACTCACCTAATTCTGATAAAAGGAATACTGCAATGTTAGCAATAAGTTTTTTTCTTCTGTAATGACTCTACGTTATCCTGTTTCCCTGTGCCTACCAAACACTGTCAATGTTTATTACAAAATTTTAAAGAAGAATATGTAACATGCAGTACTGATATTATAATTCTCATTTTACTTTCATTATTTCTAATAAGAGATTATGTGACTTCTTTTTCTTTTAGTTCTATTCTACATTCTTAATATTGTATATTACCTGAATAATTCAATTTTTTTCTAATTGAATTTCCTATTAGTTGACTAAAAGAAGTGTCATGTTTACTCATATATGTAGAACATGACTGCCTATCAGTAGATTGATCTGTATTTAATATTCGTTAATTAAATCTGCAGTTTTATTTTTGAAGGAAGCCATAACTATTTAATTTCCAAATAATTGCTTCATAAAGAATCCCATACTCTCAGTTTGCACAAAAGAACAAAAAATATATATGTCTCTTTAAATTTAAATCTTCATTTAGATGGTAATTACATATCCTTATATTTACTTTAAAAAATCGGCTTATTTGTTTATTTTATAAAAAATTTAGCAAAGAAATATTAATATAGTGCTGCATAGTTTGGCCAAGCATACTCATCATTTCTTTGTTCAGCTCCACATTTCCTGTGAAACTAACATCTTATTGAGATTTGAAACTGGTGGTAGTTTCCCAGGAAGGCACAGGTGGAGTTATTTGTGAGAAGCAAAGTGTTTACTAATGACAAAGTAGTAAACCATTTTCAAGATGAAAACTGATTTCTATTTATTTTGCTTCAAAGGTCCTGAAAAAATAAGCAATTATCATAACAATTTGTTATTGATACTGGAGGTTTCATTGACATGTCTCTCAAATTAAAGCTCACACTGCCTCCATAAAAGTCTTCAACATCTAATTTATAAGCTTTACAAGTATTTATTTTATAAGGCTTAGACAGAATTATTGGAGTTTTAAATTAAGTGTATTGGAAAAGAAAGGATGGTATGTGTATGAAATGTTAAGATCCTACGCAACACTGCTATTTTTTTCCTTTAATATTTGTGCTGCATAACAAAAGCCACTAGACTGTTACTGTCTTGTCTGTCCATGTGTTAACAGCATTTCTTAATGATGTATATATGGAGTGGTCTTCAATCATAGTGAAGAATTTAAAGAGAAAGTCAATTGTATTGGCATTTTTAATAAGAACAAAATTAGTTCGTCTAAGGGGACTGGCTGGCCACATATTTGTTCCTTGCCCATATGCTTTCTACTTCTTGTTCTTATTATGAAATTATGAATTTGAAGCCTCTGAAATGGTGATCAGTTTTCAACATCTTTCAAAAACAAAATTACTATTTCCTCCATATTGCCTTTTTTAGATAACTTTAAAGTTAGGATTTTAAAATATTTGTAACTGGCTAAATTTTAAAGTCGTGACAAATAATTACTTAGGTTCAGAAATATACACACACTTACTCTTTAGCCAGTTTCTTTCAAGGTTTACTGTCCCATCAGATATCTAGCCATTTTCCTTTGCAAATTACATACCTTCTTAAGAGTGTATTTTTAAGATTATTACTTACGCTTTATGATGATATAGTTTTTCAAAATTATTTATAGCTTCATATGATGTTTTGTAATTTTTTCTATTGATACCTGTTTTAAAAATATTTTCCAAGGAAGTTGATTAAAATTATATTTGTTACCTTTTAGAAAAAGCATTGAAATGAGTTTCTCTTGCTTTTTCATTTTCCCTCTGCTTTATATGCTCTTCGCAATACATCATGTCCAACGGGATACCTATTGTTCTCATGACACCCAAAATTGATGAGAGCAAAGGGGTCGCACCATATGGAAATGTTGAAAACTATTGTAAAGTAGTATTATGAAGTAGCTTTTGTGTCATTCATGTCGATGACATGAAAGTGAAGTAAATTTATTCTATGTAAATTCACACTAAAACCAGTACAGTACCATAAGTAGAATACATGTAAGAATCACCTAGTCTTCACTATATTGAGTAAATATAACATGCTAATTTTACAATTAATGAAACTAAACTTTTAAACATCTCCATTATATCTACATCCTTTTGAAGGTATTTATCATAGTTGCCAATTTTAATTTTAGGATTGACTTTCTCTTTCTGAATGACTTCATAAAGTTTGGTGTGAATTTTGAAGACTTGGGTTACTAATGATTGTATCTTTGCTAGTCAACAACTTATGAAATATACTCAATGCGTCTGATGTGTCATTAAGTGCAGAAATAACTAAGACACAAATAACCTTTGCAAACCTTCAAGCTGTGTAATATTCCAATGTTGTTTTTTTCTTTGTATATATACTTATATCACGTAGGATGTAAAACCAGTATGACCTTGTCTAGTCTCCAAACTTAAAATAAACTTTTGAAAAGCTGGGATTCTTTTGAAGCAGTTGTAATTAAACACATTTATAAGAATACACAAATTGTCTGAATGTGAATGCCCACTACTCTTGACCACATACTTGGTTCATTTTTGCCTTGCACAGGACAGTTGAACGGATACAGAAAAAATAGAAATTACAACAACCTCTAAATATATATTGATATTAGCTAAACTGGTCTTTTGAAGATTATTAAAATGTATGCATTCTTCCTGCTCCTTTTAGATGCAGAAGTTTTACTAGAATATTCTTAATCCAAAGTCATTTTTGGCCTCATGTATAAAGCATTGTGCACCAGGACTGATCTGCCCATTGTTAATCAGATGATATTGCTATCATTTCTATAGTTTTTTCAGTTCATGATGCTCAGGAGTATGATGAAGAAATCCAGTCAGTAGTAAGCAATAATATAACAGTAATAATGTATTTATCCATGTAACATTAGCTATTGAATAATGAAAATCATAACGTGGATTCTTCATAAATCCTGTTTCTAGCTCTCTGGAAGTCACTGGTGAAATACTAAATCTGTGTACTTGCTATTGTTTTGACATTTTCTTAGGATGCAAACAATTTAGGGAGGAATTAAGATATGAAAGGTTACTACTTATTTGAGCTTCAGTGAGTTTCTGATAGCTCCCAGAACTGACTAATCACGTTTATGTACTCATACACATTCCCATTTAAATGCATTTTAATATCAGCAGATCAATGGGATTCCGTTGTTTGCCTAATTTTTGCACATACTCATAAACAAACAATAAATGTGCTTTTATTAAATAAGAGAAATTATACATATAAATTTTCAGTAGCGCTAATAAGGAATCATGACAACATCTATACAGGGTACAATTTTATTGTGACAGCAAAATATTTAATAATTATCCAACAGAAAATTTTCAAGTATAAAACTTTTAAGACTACTGATTCTAGATTCAAAAATAATAAAAGCATTTCAAATTCCAAGAAGAAAAGTCTGCATAGGCTGAAATTTGTGTTTTTTATAAAGTATTACTAATAACTTCATGAATGGAAAATATTATCTCTATATAACCTGAATTTTAAAACATCTATCAGCTTTGCACACATGACTTTAAGATTTTGATAAAGAAACATTAATGTTTACTGTCAGAAATTCAGTGCTCTCTATCTCTTTTCAAAAGGCTAATTTTTAAAAAATTAACAATCACTTTAGTATGCTATTTATTTGTGAAAAATATTGCCTCTAGCCTTTGAGATGCAAAAGGATCCTTTTATCTGCACAGGTAAAATAGAAGACCAAACAACTTTGCCAGTTGAGAAATGTTTCAACTACCCTGAAATTGAATGCACTGTCATTTGTCTTTACAAAGACAAAGAATACCTAGTGGAAGTAGCAATTTTTCTATTGATTTTGAAGGGGGAAATAGGTTTCTTGATTCTATTGCAATAAATGCCTATAATTCATATTGGCTGTTTCAACATTGCCACCAAATAAAGTGTTTTCCACAGTAGGCAAGTGCACTTACTCAAAGAGTTATTTCTATTAAATGAATTTGGTAGCAGAAATAGGAAAACATAAAAGGCTCCATGTTCAACAATTTTTGCATAACTTCGCAGAAGCTGATTGAGTCATGTGAAAGCACTAATACTTTGGAAATATGGTGTCGAACCATCAGCAAATGGCCACCGTATTACATGATTAAGCATTGCATATGGTGACTGCTTCCGATTGAATTTTATTTTAATGTCCTTAAAGGCATGAACCACGCTGCTCCATATTTATGTAAAATCCCCATAGTGCCCTTCATATATCCACACATATGTTAACGATGATAAATTACAATGTAACCTCAACCTGCTGCCACCTGTAAAGGGAGTGGTGGCAGTGAGACCAATGATGCGTCTAAACAATATATCTCTGGCCAGGCACGGTGGCTCATGCCTGTAATCCCAGCACTTTGGGAGGCCGACGTGAGCAGATAATTTGAGGTCAGGAGTTTGAGATCAACCTGGCCAACATGGTGAAACCCAGTCTCTACTAAAATACAAAAATAAGCCGGGCATCGTGGCACATGTCCATAATCCCAGCTACTGGGGATGCTAGGCAGCAGAATCCCTTGAATCCAGGAAGTGGAGGTTGCAATGAGCCGAGATCGCGCCACTGCACTCCAGCCTGGGTGACAGAGCAAGACTCCATTTAAAAACAAACAAACAAGCAAACAGTATATCCCCCATGGCCAATATGGAAACAGCTTGTGATAACTTACATAAGCATCAGGCAGAAACATTCCTGAGAATTCGAAGGAAGACAACTGTGCATATGAGAAAGAGATAGATAAGGAATGTTTTCAGTGATGAATAAGTGACAAATTAAACATGGATTTACACATATTTTATCATTTTTCCACTTTTTAGTGATTGTATAGTTGGGATTTGAAGAAACATTAATAATAAAAAAGGCTTTGCCTTTCAGGAAGAGAAACCTTAGCAGGCCAGTGGCCCTAGGGAACATGAGAAGCACAGTGCTTTTCAAGGCTAAAGGCATTTTCTGCCTGGACCCAGGAAAGAGGAACTGGGCAAAGAGGTTAAAAATAGCATATCTCAAAGGAAGCACTAAATAATCAATATTAGGCAGCTTTATTTCCTCTGTTGTCAAGTTTCTTAGGTAATAATATTTTTTAAATGCTACTTTTTAATAGTAGAAGCATCCTCCCTACCCACTCCCCGCTCAAAATCCCTGTTTGTAGTGGTATAAACACCTTGATAAGATGCTTGAGATGTGGACTGAGAGTCTGAAAACCACGTGTAAACAATAGTAAAACACTGTTTTCAAACTGCTAATATAGAGAAACTGCTGGGTCCAGACTAGTAGTATCTTTTTAAAAACATTAAACACTTCAGGACAAGAGAAGAGACGAGAAGGAAGGAGTTAGAATAGGAGGAGAGAAAAATATAAGTCCATTGTAAAAATTATTTTACAAAGATTTTATTTCAATTATATTCCTGAGTATATATGTGTTCTTGATCACAGTGTAAATTATTTTTCTAACTCAGAGACAGATGTAAAAGTTGAAAACCACGGCAACGCAGTCTCTTTAACTGCTTTCTAAATCAGTGGTGTCTGCTAGCTTCCAGGTGTTGGTATGTTGGGTGGCCAGCGTGAGTTTAGAGCCAGATTTGTATGGCTCCTGTAAATAGAAGATTGCTAGAGTCTTGGTGGGAAGAGAGAAGAGGTGTGCTGACAGAAGCCTGAGAGGCTTTTTAAAACAAAAAGTGTATAACACAGAACTGTGTGCATTTTTTCTATATGGTAGGTAAAGCCCTTTGCCCTTCTCCCCATAAAATATTCTAACAAAATACCAGTGTCTTCCCATCACATTTCGTTGTTCAGCTAAAGAAGATTCACCCAAGTGTTGAATATGGCCTGAAGGTGGGCTTGCAGCATGAGTCAAGGCTGCCTGCGAGGGACCTGCCACTTTGGGTTAATCATAATGCAGATCCATATGTTGGGTGTTTGTTTGTTTGTTTTAATAAACCATGATGCATTTTAGGTAGATTTTTCTAAAGCGACCTCTGGCTTAAAAATTCATAATCAAATGCCCTCCACACCCTCGTTCTAACCTTCTAATTCCATACTTCAGAAGGTCATAACACTAATTCCTTTCTTGAGTGTTTTCTCACCCAAGCTTAATATAACAGATACTTGTACCTCCAGACTGTAGCATTACGCTGTAATATAAGTACTGCAAAATTTTAAAATATGTTTTCATTTTCACTGGAGATATAAAGAAAAGCTAATTTCTTTCATAAATAATACACTTGGAGAAACTACTGTATTTGTCTTAAGAAAATATTGAGATTGTCCAACTTCTTTTGTTGTTAATCATTTTTTTTTCAGTAGAATCTAAGCATCTATTTTGTACCAGCCACTGTATGATGACCTGGAAATACAGAGATGAAAATACAGTGATTTTTGGAACTCACAGTATAGAGGGTGAAGCTGGGGGTAGACAAGAAAGCAAATGATTATGATGGATGTTATGACAAAAATATGCCCCATGTGCAAAGAGAAGATAGAGTAGAGGCACCTATACCAATCAATGAAGCAGATCAGGGAAGGCATCCTACGAGGGTGACATCTAAAATAGGCCTAAAACCATCAAATTTAATATTCATAACACCTAAAACATCCACTTTACTACTCATGATAACTATGGATTTGCATGTCCGTTTTATAAGAGGACAAAGAAAAGCCAAAAGAAATGAGGAGATCTGCCCAGGTTGCAGGGCTATAATTTGCACATAGATCTAAGGACATCCTTCACCCCTGTTCAATACTCTTTCTTCTTTTAAGTCAAGGTGTACTGAAAATGGATTTCATTACATACTAATACGAGAACAACAAGAAGGACCTGCCTCCAGCCAAGCAGTTGCAAATTGTTTATTCTACAATTTCTCATATTGTCCTATTAGTAAAAATAATTTAACACACTGGTATTACCTGATAACTTGTATTTTAAATAATTTGTCTGTGGATGAAGTGTTGACCATCGCATAAATATATTTTAAAAAATCCACAAGTGACTGAACAGCTAATGAACACTTTGAGATTATATGATGGCATTAATTTTTTTAAAAGTGAGTAATAATCCCAAGATGTCAAAGCTTCTGCTATTCCAAGGCACAGTAAATGGACTATCTGCATTTGAAGAGCGTGAAATCTTTAATACAGTAATCAAACATATTTCTATTTAAGAAAAATCTGAAAGCAGTGCTCTATAGATAAGAAAAACCACAAGTATTTCCATTAACAAAAAACTCCAAAGAATACAAAGAAAATTCAAGAACACTCTGTCTTGAGTTCCAGTTTCCAATATTTAAGAGTTACCATAATCTCATGGAGGCAGAGAGTATAATGATAGTTACTAGAGGCTGGGAATGGCGTGAAGTGGGAAGAAGGGATGAAGACAGGTTGGTTAATGGGCACAAACACACAGCCAAATAGAAGAGATACAGTCTGATGTTTGATAGCACAATAGGGTGCTGATAGTCAACAATAATGTATATTTCAAAATAGCTAAAAGAGAGGACTTGAAATGTTCCCAACACAAAGAAATGATAAATGTTTGAGGTGGTAGATACCCTAAATCCCTGACTTGATTGCTACACATTCTATTTGTATATCAAAATATCACATGTACCCAATAATAATGGGTATATAAATATCATGTATTTAAAAAGTTTTAGCAAAACAAAGAATTATACTCTTAACTAGAAGAGAGGTTGAATAGCAAATAATATCTTAGAAAATAAAGTATAGTAACAGCACAATTTAAGGAACCAGCTTCTTAACAATAAATAGATAGGGCATTGTCTTTTTCATTCTCTGGTGACTTTTAATTTAGTAGAATTAGGACCTTAATTGGTTACAGATAACCCTATATAACCTAATGTATTGAGTACATTAAATTTATATAACTTGATTTAAATAGTCCATTCTCTGTTAGTTATTCATCAGCAAACAAGAAGAAACTGAAAAAATGTTAGCCAACTGGAATTAAGGGACCACCAACCCTGAGATACGTTTGTTTAAATATTTAATTCCCTAGGTCATTATTCATCCAGTATTTAAGAAAGGATAGCATAGCCAAGTCTTTACCAATTCTAACGGCCAATGACTGTACTAATATTTGAATTATATCTTTAGTGAAACTGAATCCATGGTATTTCACTAAAGTCTGAAAACTGGTTGTTATTGTCTCTTTACAATTACTTTGTTCTTGTCCTTTTCTGAAAAAAGAAAATATCCTTGCTCTTTTGTCTATTTTTTCATACCCACTCAATGTTCAATAATCTTCCAAAAATATAAGGCATGAAACTGGTAAGGCATGTTGAATGTGGTGAAAAGATCATTTAAGATCCTTAACTGTTTGTAGGCTTATTTATCAGCAGCACCTATAAGGTTAATGAATGTTCAATCTGTAGTCTACTGTGAGTACTTGATTTCTATACGGTAAGTTATTCTAGGTCTTGGTTTGGGCCAATATCCTTTTCCTTTGGCCAAAATCCTTTTCCTTCTTAAAAGTATGTTGTCATATATGTGCATTTACTTCTTTTTAAAGCCATTTAACAGTAAATAATGATTAGAAACATGTGTTGCAGGCACTCTATCAACTGAGAAATTTATTGAGTGTCTACTAATGGCCAAAACAAAAATATTCCTTCAAATATAAAGGATAAAATTTCTGTCCAGGGCACCTGTATAAGGCTGAACTGGTTATGTCATGCACAAAGTAGCTAGGCCAAGGGGCATGAGTGCAAATCGAAATCCAACGTTTTTTGATATGGCAAGCTAAAAGTCCTGAGAAAGGTCTGTCTAGAGACAGTGCCTTTGTGTATATCATATTTGCAAAAGAGCCCCCTTTTTCTAATACAAATCTTACGTGCTAAGGCTGGAGTCTTGATAAATTCCAATACCTGTCTACTGTTTTTATTAAAGGCAAACTTCCAGCATGGGAGACTATGGGT
The DNA here is from genome assembly GCF_000001405.40 of Homo sapiens. Lineage (NCBI taxonomy): Eukaryota > Metazoa > Chordata > Mammalia > Primates > Hominidae > Homo > Homo sapiens. Next base: position 83,934,079 of record NC_000005.10, on the reverse strand, counting down.
ATTTGACAGTCATGCAATGCATTTAACATAGCCTGCAAATTTCCTATCTTAGTTAAACCTTAAGCATAAAAGTAATACTTCCAACTTTTGCTCTCATCTCTTCTCCACTGGTTGTGCTAAGGATTACACATTACATTTGAAATGAGTATGAAAGCCCTCTCTTTCTCACTCTTATTCCTACAAAAGTGGCTAGACTAGTTATTGTAAGAATGTATCAGCTGAATCCTATATCAGATAAAAAAGAAAACAAAAATTCTAGGATCTTCTTCATTCATTCAATAAATTTATGTGGAGTTGGGTATCCAGATAACCAAACTGACATTCAGCCTACACTCAGAAAATTTGCTAATAATGATGGTAGAATTTTAGGCAGGAGCTGATGCCAGTTTCCCCCTAACAGATGAAAAAGCTCTTTTATTGCGTTGATGACTTTATATAACTGCCTTAATTTCATTATTTACCCAAAAGTCATTCAGGAGCAGGTTGTTTAATTTTCAGGTAATTGTATGGTTTTGAGTAATTTTCTTAGTCTTGAATACTATTTTAATGTTTGGTATTATTTCAGTTCTTTTGCATTTGCTGAGGATTGTTTTATGTCCAATTGTGTGGTTTATTTTAGAGTATGTGCCATGTGGCAATGAGAAGAACCTATATTCTATTGTTTTAGGGTGGAGAGTTCTGTAGATATCTATCAGGTCCATTTGGTTCAGTGTTAATTTCAGGTTCTGAATATCTTTGTTAATTTTCCACCTTGATAATCTATCTAATACTGTCCATGGGGTGTTGAAGTCTCCCACTATAATTGTGTGGGAGACTGAGTCTCTTTGAAGGTCTCTAATAACTTGCTTTACAAATGTATTAGTCCATTCTCATGTTGCTATAAGGACATACCCAAGACCGGGTAATTTATAAATAAAAGGAGGTTTAACGGACTCACAGTTCCACATGGGTGGGGAGGCCTCATGATCATGGCGGAAGGCAAAGGAGGAGCAAAGGCACGTCTTACATGGTGGCAGGCAACAGAGTGTGTGCAGAGGAAATGCCTTTTATAAAACCATCAGATCCCATGAATCTTATTCACTATCACAATAGCATGGGAAAAACCCACACCATGATTGAATTACCTCCCACTGGATCCCTCCCACAACACATGGGGATTATGGGAACTACAATTCAAGATGAGATTTGGGTGGGGACACAGCCAAACCATATCAATAAATCTGTGTGATCCTATGTTCAGCACACATATATTTAAGACAGGTCTTCTTGTTGTATTGAACCCTTTACCATTATGTAATGCCCTTCCTTGTCTTTTTTGATCTTTTTTGGTTTAAAGTCCATTTCGTCTGAAATTAGAATTACAACCCCTGCTTTTTTTTCTGTTTTCCGTTTGCTTGGTAGATGTTTCTCTAGCCCTTTATTTTGAGCCTAGGGGTGTCATGGCATGTGAGATGGGTCTCTTGAAGACAGCATACCACTGAGTCTTTTAACACATTTTCTTTCATTTTGACTTTGGATAATCTGATAATTATCTGTCTTGGGGAAGATATTCTTGTGAAGTATTTTGTGTGGGTTCTCTGCATTTCCCAAATTTGAATGTTGGCTTCTTTAGCTAGGTTGGAGACGTTCTCATGGATGATATCCTGAAATATGTTTTCCATATTGTTTCCATTCTTCGCATCCCTTTCATGGATGCCAGTGAGTCACAGATTAGGTCTCTTTACATAATATGGGAGATGTTCCTCCTGGCTGCATCTAGTAGGTTATCTTGGAGCAGGAATCCTCAACCAATGCCCCCAAGCAGAACAACCAAGTCAGTGCATATCCAACAGGTTCTCATGCCTGGAGCTGGCTCTTGTGCTGGCAGAGCTCTGAGCTCATTGCTGTCTCAGAGCCTGGACTCTGATGTGCAGCCTTGGAGCTAGCAGTGGGTAGGGCAGCTGCTAGAGAAAGCATGGTACAGGCTCTTGAAAATGTTTTGAAGTGGTAACATGTTGACTCTGCCAAGATTTACTTTGTAATGCTATCTGCAAAATATTTGAGTTACTTTTTCATTCAAAGAACATTATTTGTAATTTTTATATCAAGAATTTATTGAAGAATGCAAGTAAAACTGAATAATTGTACATTTGTCTTATAGTTTATGGTCTCAATAGCATATTACTGAAAAGAAAATGGATTGAAAGGCAGTGTTGTGTTTCTGAAAACTTGAATTGATAGAGGATTCCACTATTCTCATTAGGACACTTCTACAAATTAATGGGAAATGAGAGTCATTGATGTATATTCTCAAGAGAAAAAAAGTAAAAACATTAACATATTAAAAACACATATCTCTTAACTGGTTATCTTCTGGTTTATGTATATTGACTCTCACCACCACATGGAAATAAGAGCAATAGTTTCCCTATACAAGTCATATTTTTTTCATTGGCATATCATCTTTCAGAATTTATACAGCACTGCCTAAATAAAAATGTAATTGGCCTATATCACATTTCAAGCCCTAAAACAATAACTGTGGCTCAGCTGGAATTTACTGTAGTGTCAAGAACATTTATCAGAAGACATTCATTCCAATGAAGTGGATTCAGTATTATGAGCTAACTTTTAACAAAAATAATGATCCATTTGAGAGTTATAGTCTTACCTGTGCTACAGATTTTGTTTCTAAAGAAAAAGCCAGGCCTGGCACGGTGGCTCACACCTGTAATGCCAACACTTTGGGAGGCCAAAGTGGGTGGATCACCTGAGGTCAGGAGTTTGAGACCAGCCTGGCCAACATGGTGAAACCTTGCCTCTAGTAAAAATACAAAAATTAGTGGGGCATGGTGGTGGATGCCTGTAGTTCCAGCTACTTGGGAGGCTGAGACAGGAGAATCGCTTGAACCCAGGAGGTGGAGGTTGCAGTGAGCCGAGATTGCACCATGGCACTCCAGCCTGGGTGACAGAGCAAGACTCTGTCTCAAAAAAAAAAAAAAAAAGTTATTCACAAGCTCAAACATTGACATTATTAAAAAAAATACAAATACAGAAACTTTAAATTATTAGCATAGACCTAAATTAGGTGTTTTAAAATTGTAAATTCTATTTGCAAACCTAACTCTCCCAGTCTATCCCAAGGGAGTGCACTAGACACCCTATAAGATTGTGCAGCATCTGTTGGCAAGAAGCACATTCTTTCATTTTTCAGGTATACTTTCTTTAAATTGACACACCCAGAGTGCCCATGTGTGCAAAGGATTGGTATCGTTAATATTATCAGTTAATAAAACTAGATTTTGTTTTGCTTTCTCCTCCAAAAGATAAATCTCAAGTTTGGAAATCAGACAGATCTTCTGGGTTCAAATCTTCTCTCCAGCTTACGAGTAGTTTTTCCTCTGGAAAATTTCTCCTATGAAAATATATACATACTAGACCTGACATATAGATATTCTAGACCTGAAAAGTATATATACATATATATATATATATATATAAAACCTATACCTGCCCCTGATACTCACAAGAGGTGTTCACCACACTTCAGGGTTATTTGATATATTTTTTATTTTTGTTTTTGTCACTGTGGCAGGAATATATTCACACACAAAAAAAACACACCAAAACAAAACCACACAGGATTGTTACTTTCTTTATATTTCACCTAATACTCCACACACACACACAAACACAAAAAAGTAATTGAGTCATTTCCAAAAGAAATTCAGTTACTTTAGTAATTTCCAAGTTATTTTACAAATTTACTAGTTTCTCCTCAAATTCATTCATTGCCCCCTGCCATTCTTTCATCCTGGGGTTAGTCTAAGCGTTAGGACACATAGAAGGCGATGTGAGTTAGTGGGACAGGAGGCACTCACTTCCTCTTATCTGGCATCTGGTGAGATATACAGACACAACCTATCCTATCAATGACCTCTCTGTTGCCATCCATGTTGAGGATTTTTCTCCATCTGGCAACTTGCTGTTCCATCATGCCATCAGAAGCTACCATCCTTTACCACCACCTCTACTTTACCTGGCAGTGAGCGCTTCTTTGGATGTCTGGGAAGATTCACTAGAGTACAGTCCATGAGGGCTTTCATGCACTGCCGATTCTTAGTCCTACTCAGACATCTATTCTCTACAGATACTTGTAGAATGAATGAATGAATGAGTGAATGAATGAAGAAACAATCAAATATCATGAGATTCTCCGTAGGGAGGAAGATGTGGAGCTATCCTCAGACACTCTCTGCACCCTGCCTCAGCCACTTTCACTGTAGGGAATCCAAGACACTACAGCATAAGCACATCTGTGAGGCTACCAACTCCCATGATTCTGGACTGACAGCAGGCCACAGGTCCCTTCCTGTCTTGATTGATATCCCCCACAGCACCAAAGGGAGAACCAGGTGAGTGTAGACCCTGTACAAATGCAAAAGAGCTGTTCTTCCCCTCCCCTACACCTTTCCTCCCAAGCTCAGATGACCTTGGCTAGCGCCAAGTATAGGAAATGTAACTCATTCAGCAGGGGTTGTCCCCAAAATACTTCCGTGTGACACCTAGACTCCAGCTTTTCTGTCTTAACTTGAAATTAAAGAATTGGGAGAAGACTGCAATGAAAGATATGAAGGTCTGTGGAGAATGAACACATGAGCTAATAATTAATATATAATTGAGCCAAATTCATAAACAAAACTTAACCCTCTCTGAGCTTATTTTCCTATCAATAAAATGAAGGAGCTGAGTAATATGCAAATGGTAAAGCACTCACAATCATTCATCAAAGCACAATGAATTGTGACACAACACACAACATATATTGTTGTTTCTTTATTTGAGGGTCTTAAATGAAATTGGGAGTAATTGTATAACTACATGTAAAATTAAATAGTTCAAAATAGATATATAAGAATTCTTAGTAATTGTATTCTGCAGAAAAAAACACATGAAAAGTTAATCATAGATACTCAAAGGATTGTCATTTGTATAGTTATAATTTAATGTGATAGGTATTGCTAAATAAAGTATAATAAACTAAAAGAGGTAAGAAATATTTTGACATTTGAAAGCATATCTATAAATTTTCCTTTGGATACCGTGTCTCTCCCTCTCTTTGCCTGTTCGTTGTCTATTTCTTTTTGTCTTTCTGTCTCTCCTTTCTCATTCTCATCTTCCTTCAGCTCATTTTTGATCCTGAACTTTTTTACTCATGAATTCAGAAATAGCTTGTTAGGCAAAAAAAAAAAAAAGAAAGAAAGAAAAATCAAACATACTTGTAAGGGTCTAACTCACCTAAAGCCACAAGTCTCTGAATTCACTCCCTTTTCAGTTCAGAAAGCATGCTGGAAAGGAGTCAGTAATGTGCCTCAACTATCCTAGTGTCCCCAACATTGGTGTCAAAATACAAACACAACATTTAAAATATTTTTTTAATTGCACACAGCTTTTACTTCAGTCTGCAGGTCTAGAAAAGCCTATTGCACACAGAACTCTTTTAAGCCAGCTGTTCCAGGGGCAGACTACTGCAGCTTCATTCATGGGGCCATGGAAGGTTTATTGTGGTGGCATCTTCCTAACGTTTGCAGTGCCAGAGCTGTGCCAACCATAACTTTCAGCTAGAGCCATCATTGATGTGTCTGCCAGTCACTCCACTATGTGGAAGACTATTGCTTAGCTTGATGGAATGGTTCACTGTCTTTCTGAGAGATTGCAGCCAGTGTTACTACAGTTGAGCTACAGATAAATGTGGCATTTAAGATGGAATTCTCTCCCACAAACTGGGGGAGAAAAATGCTAGCCCTTCTAGTTTGCTCTGGTTCTTTCTCATTTTTGTTTTACCAAATAAAATATAGCTTATATGGGGGAAAATTATTATTAATAGACATGCTGGAAATCGAAAGTTATCATATCATATTTAAAGGTCTAAATACCCTGTCTTTGTGACAGGAAGTATAGATATTGTTTGATTGGTACGTACAAACAAAATATTCAGCATAGTCTTTCCCAAGTCATCCTAGATGATAGGATTTTAATATGGTATCAGAACAGTAAATCTGACTCACGCACTATGAGCAGAATTCCTGGAACTTCTAGTCTCTTCAAATTCCTTCTTTCTAGCTCAAAAAAGTCTGTGGAAAAATTCATCTATGCATTTTTCCTTTTCTTCCATCTTGTGACATTTACCATTTCCTCCATCATTTCGAAAACGAATGATCTAGTCTTTTACATTGGTATCATTGTAGCTGCTCATGCACTCTGCTCTAACAAACTCCACTTGTGCCAACAGAAATACCCCTTTTCCCTCGTTCACTTCTGTTACTTACTCCATCAGTAGACCACCACCTGGTACTGATCCACTACCCCATTCCTCATAAAGCTATCTGCTCTCATCCATGTTTTCATGTTTCCATGGCCCTATGCATCTAGTTGTTTTATTCCTGGAGCTCCCTGACTTTTAATGGATTCCTAAAATCTAGGCCTAGAAATTACCAGAATGCCCACTATGCTGTAATCAACTCCTTACCACCACCACCCCTGGCCATCCAACAGTCAAGCATTGCTTCCTGTCCATCTCCTTTTAAACACTAACAATTTCCTTCTTTCTAGTGGGGCGTTTCTTTTCCTACCCAGTAAGCTGCCCAGCGGGGAAGGTGGTCTTTGTGGCCCCTGAAGGCAGGGAATGTCAGTCTTGCAAATACACTACCCTCTTCATGTTTTGCCTTGCCTTTTTCCTGAGATCCCGCAGACGCTCACTCAAGGAGCTCCCCCTGGTGGCCTTGCTCATTAAGACAGATCTGAATTGGCAATGGTCAAACAGTAGCCTCTTCAGGAATTCCTGCTACACTATGGATTGCTGCTGGAAGGAATGGAAAAAATATAGAGGTTAAAATGGCATCTCAAAAAAGCTAGCAAGAGAGAATGTTTTTTTTTATTCTTTCAAAGATGGAAGTAATAATTGTCTCCCTTTAAGACCTGCTTATTACACCACATATTTTGTCAGATAACTTTTAGGAAAAGCAATTATCAAGAAGCATGTAAGTCTTAAAAAATAAATAAATAAATAAATAATGGTTGGGAAAGTACACGGAGGTGCAGAGGAGTGCTAGAGAGGTAATCCCATATGTGTGGACCTAAGGAGTGTTCTACAGTATGAAAAGAACCTGGTCACTGTGATAATATGACTGTATTTTGCAGGTAGGGGAAACTAAATTTTCAGGGAATATATACAGTAGAAAATAATACCTCATAAAATCACTGTGGAGGCAACATTGGGATGGAGTTGGGCGGTAACTGTGAAGGGAAAGGAGATATCTCACAGTAAGGAAAAGTGCCTGTTTGTCAAAAGCAGGTAAGGATTTTAAGATGTTTGAAAAACATCAACCACAGAATTGAGTTAGTGAGATTTTCCATGGCCCTATGCATCTAGTTGTTTTATTCCTGGAGCTCCAGGACTTCCAATACCACCACCAACAACAACAATGCTTGTGTCTGGAGCAATAAAATTCCCGTTTCAAGCAATAAAATCCTCTCTTGTCTATCCTGCTTCTTTGAAATGACTTATTCTCTTAAAGTGTTCCATTAGAGAAGGAGTCGGCCACCTACAGCTAGTGAAACCAGCTTCTCAGGAGTGTGTGTGTGTGTGTGTGTGTGTGTGTGTTTTCTGCCCTTGTTCCACTTAGCGGAGTATGCTTCTTATATTCCCTCAAAAAATCAGAACAGATTGTCATTTTGTTCAGAGAAAGACTTGGGGTGCAACGCTAAAAATTCCTGTTGGAGATCTTTCCGTTTGTGATGTATTTTGACCAAGTGAGCTTTTTATCTTTGCCTCAGTAACCTTCGCCTTATCACTCCACAGGAGCCAGCTGCCTTCCTTCAGGTGTCATTCTGACAGACACAACAGACAGCCCTCTCCCTTCCTATCACACATTTATCTAGACTTCCTTGGAGTGAGGAAGCTTTCTCTTTCTCAGGCTATTTACTCTCAGAGGCAAAGGAAAAGTCTTTGCTTCAAAGATTGAGCTGCTATTTCCTGCAGTCAGAGCCACACAGGCTGGAAGAGCACATTGAAGCCTGGTAATCAGAGATTCTTTCATGCTCCACATTAAATAGTGACACGCATAGAGTTGTTTAAAAGGTGCACAACCCAGTATATTTCATTGCAATATCTACACATTAATGTAGTTGAAAGTGGATTTGGAAGTGAGGAATAGATTTAAAGTACAACTTCATGACTCTGCATGAATTTGTCTGGTTTAGACCAGTCTGTTCTAGCTATGCGGAACCACAGCAATAATCAGGCCATTCATAAAGCAGTGTGTGTTCATTGTGGCAGCACATTTTACTTAAAATCTTTTAAATTATGCCATAAAGAATTTGGGCATAAGTCCATTTCAAACCCTTACACTGTCTCAGGGGTGGCCAACATAAAGATTTGTGCCAAAAAATGCCGTCTGGGTTAATTTTAAGATTCCTTTCCCCACCCCCACACACCACATTCATGATTTTATCCACTAGCCACCTAAAAAAACCTACCTACAAAATTCCACCATATGCCAGTCCTGTCCACACCTTCACAAAAACCAACATAATAGAAACTATTTTTCTAAACCACATCTGGAGTCATTACTTAGACCCGCACTTGCATTCTCCCAAGTCACATACTATCTTACCACAAAAGACGATATGGGATGCTTGACATTCTCTTTTTATAAGGTCACCAATCCCTGTGATATGATATGATCCTTGAAACAGTTCATTGTCTCAGACTGTGTAAGAAGTCAAAGAAAGGGAGTGTTAATAGACAAATGAATGTTACATAAAATAAAAATGCGTAGCTTTAATATTTATTGTACTTTCAGCAACACTGAAGGAAGCCCTCATATCTTTATCTCATTTAATTCTGACAGGAGGGCTATGTGGTAGACAGTAATATTGTCTCCATGTTGCATATGAGGAAACTGAAGTGCAGCATGTTTAAGTATACTATTATAATAGAATGGAACAAGGCCCTGTGCCCACACAATCTGGCCTTGAACTCATTCTTAGTCACTATGTTTATGTGACAAGCTTCAATTCATTCATGAAAAATTCTGCCTTCTATACCGTGCTAAGCTTATTCAGAAGTTTAAAAAGAAAAGGACAAGAACAAAAATTGTATCATTGGTTTCATGTCAAAGTTTATTTTCGAAATCAGTTTGTAACTTTAGATAGGTACAATTTTTCCCTTGTCTCCTGCTTTCATATAACTAGAATTCATAAGACTCTATTCCAGAGACCTTTCTCATAAGGCTTAGATGTTTGGGATATGTATGTAAGCAAAGGAGAATTTTTCAATAGAAACTTAAAATGCTAAGACAGGTACATTCTTCATTCACAAATGTTGACTACTGAGGATATCTTTTGCTTAAGGTGAAGTGCTGGGCAGTATATAAAGCAGATTAAACTAAACACATTGGCTGTGATATCTTGCACTGGGCATCAAGTGGACCTGCGCCAGTCAGAGACGGCAGGAAGCTGCATGTCAAAGGGCAGCTGTCAATGTCGGATACACTGGAGGACATCTCCACATGCAGTGAAGCCAGACATGCCTGTTCTCAGGGACTCCACCAGCCCAAGTCCTTTCTTCCCTATGGAGCTTGTCTGCAGATTTCCTCCTTATCTTTCAAAGTTCTAGAAATACACAATAATGACTGCAGCCTGTCAAGGACTGTTTTTCCAGCTTGAATCCAGTAACCAAAGGCATCTGCCACATGTTGTTTGATTTCCTGGCCTCCCTCAGCACCCCCACCTCATCACCAAAGCCATTTTAATTAAAAATGATGCAACATGCCTCCAAACCTTCATTCCATTCCTCTTTACTCAATTTCATTCAGAGTTCCACTCCTTAAGAAAAACACATTCCTCAGTTTTTTGTCCATTTTGCTAATCCACTGTTCACTCCACCTGTGACAAAACTAGGGGTAGAGGGCTAGGGTGGAGTCTACTTCTGGTGAATAAGATGCAGTGGAATAATCTCTAGAGAGGGAGATAAACTCAAATTATACTATAAGCAATTATAAGGAAATGCAAGTCACACACACACACACACACACACACACACACACACACACACACACACTGCTCTGGAAGCACTGAGGAAGAAAAAATTCAGTCTGCCAGGAAAAAATTGCAGAGTCCAGGAAAGCAGCACAGATGTGGTGCCATCAGGACTAGGCTATTGGCAGAGAATTATGCTGAAAAGGTGAACTGAACCTGGATTTGGAAGAAACTTAAATGCCCTCATTTGGGGCATGGACTTATCTTTAAGCAATGGGGAGCCAATGAAGACCTTTAACCAAGGTACCTCAGAATATATTGCCTTTACTTACTGTTAAAATAAAGGCCAAAGTAATAGTGTCTTAAACAATGTGAAAATTTATTCCTCTCCCTCACAGCAATCCAAGGATAAGTAATCCAGAGCTGTTAGGGCAGCATCCCATTGCTGGAGTCCCAGGCCCCTTCCACCTTGTTGCTCTGCCACCTTAAGCAGGTATCTCAGATGGTTGATGCAGCCCCCCACCATCACATCGGCATTCTAGCCAGCACTAAAGGAGAACAGGGCAGAGGATGAAATAGTGCTTTTGTTTTCAAGTCCATGAGCCAGAACTTGCACCCACCAATTCTTTACATAGCCCCTTGGACAAAGTTTAGTCACATGGTCACACCTAGCTACAAAGCAAGCAGGGAAATGTATTCTTCAGCTTAAGTGTTTGTTACATCAAAGGAGGAGAAGATAGATATTAGGAAACAGCTAGCATTCTCTGCTTTACAAAAGAATAAGTTCAGTGTTTTTAGATACATACTTTTAAAAAATGATTAGAGTGTCTGGAGAGAAGGAGGAGGTCAGTTAGAAGAATATCTAGCAGGCTGGATGTGTGCTGATGATATGATTAAAGCAGGGATGGTAGAAACAGAGAAGAGGAAGATCATGTTGTTGGCCATACATCAGAAAGGTCCAGAAGCTGGCATGTCCAGCATAGAGGTAAGTATTGCCAAAAGCATGGATTCTGCCTACTTTACTAAATTGCTCCATTGAGCAGCAGCAGCCTCAGAACAGCCACTTCAGGCAATCCTCTTTTGTGATACGATATAAACTCATGCTCTATTCTGGTCACTGTGAACTCAGTTGCTGCTTCCCTTTGCTCAGTATCACAGTGCCCTCCTGAGCTCAAAGTGGCACATCGGGCTCAGGCTTGCGTGATGAGCATGTTGAACACAGGTGGTAATTAGTAGCAGGAGCTTCATACATTGTTGCCTTGGGGAGACTTCCCTCTATAGAGTAACTGTAGCCGAATTGTTACCAACATTTTTATTTTTCAGGCTGACTGATATAATGCACTCTGAATTATGAAGCCATAAAACCATTTATTCATATTCTTTAATGGACAGAGGGAAAAGCATAACCTTCGTCCAGCTGTCTGATGATTCCCAAGATCTAAATTAGGCATGTACATGCATGTTCACTGCTAATATTATTTGGCTACAAATCAAGAGTTCTTTTCACCTCTATGTGTGCATGAAAAGAAGAATGTAGAACACAGTTATACCAAAAGTGTTATACACTTCACATAACTATTCAAAGCCTGGGTGTACATTTTATAAGCAATGTGCTCAAATTCATAGTTGAATGAATTATTTTGTGATTGTAAACACAGATTGATCTCATTCAAAAATCTACTATTAGTGAATATATTGAGAAGCTGCCATCGAGAGAGACTTCTACCTAGGATAGAGCAAAACTTCTCTTGTGATAAATGCTTTCTGTTTCCACTGTTTTTAAGGCAATAATTGAGACAGTTTGGCTCAAAGGGTTTTTCTATTTTGATCCTCTAATGAAGCTGCTTTCTATGACTATAGAATCCCCTTCCTCACTTTTTTCATCTGGAAGCAGGCTACTCATGATTAAAAGTCGACCCTGAAAGTCTTTGTGTCAAGCAAATTGAAGGAACAGAAGGATTGGCCAAATATAATGTCTGCTGTTACAGTTCTTTGACTTCCTCATGTCTATCACATCGTTCACTGCATTGAAGATAGCTATACCCTTTTCAAGACCTTGTCACCATCAAGATATATTGCATCATTGATATTTTAAACTTTATACCCCACTCTCTAACCACAGTCTCCTATAAGTCAGGATCCCGCCCATCCTTACACTCATATAACTGCTTGTCGCTCCCATTCAGACCTTCATTCTCTAGAGGAAAGGAATTCATCCCAGCAAACTTGGAAACTACCTCATCAGCACCCTTGACTCCTCAAGCAAATAGTTATTGAGAGCCTGGAATGTAGGAGATAAAAATATTTATCGTATGATTGAATAAATAGCCCTCTCCCTGTATTTCACTACATGCTTCCAGCACCCTGATCCTGCAAATCTCTACCCTTAAACCAGTCCCAAAACTTACCTCTTCAAGGCCTGTATCTGGACTGATGTCACCTCAGAGGAAAGTCACAGTGCTATGCAGAAGCTGCCGTGACAAATTCTTCATCTGCAATTCCTTATGGACTCCTCGTCCAGTGTTGTTCAGTAGTCTTTTTGCCTTTTTTTTTTTTTTGGCCAGCTCCCTTCTCATGCCCCACAGTGGTCTTCTAAATCTAACCTAGGATGGGTTTCCTTCATCCCTCAGACACATCAAGGGCCCCTTACTCGGGGTAGAGGGACTTGAGTTGATGAGGGCTCCCAGCCATGTTCACCAGCTCCACTTGATCCCCACCATTACAGTTTTGCTTTCCTTCACTCTCAGAAGCAGTAATATTCTTGGAAACCAGCCTCTCTGGGAAACCCACAGACACTATCCCCACCTGGGTTCTTCCTTGTCTCTCTATCTTCTCTTTTCTCTACATTTTTTTCTATTGTAAAGTGAAAAACAAAAGTGCATTTCAATACTGTCTACCTTTATTAATTCTGTGACACTGGGAAGAGAATCTTTATCATATCTTCATATCTGTGCCTCAATTATATTCTATGATAAATGGGAATAATAATAATATCACATTCATTTTAAGTTTGCTGTGAGGATAACATGCAATAGCATGTGAAACATGCTTATTCCCCCATTGGACATTTTAGCAACTGCCTTTTGATTTCCAGTTACTATTGAGTAACAATGCACCCCAAACCTAGTGTTGTAAAATCACAACCATTTTACTATGATCACCTATTTACTCACCTATAGATGAGTAAATTGAATAAAGCACAGCAAGTGAGAACTTTCATTACCAAACTTTTTAAAGGTTGTTAGTAATTATTTCTGTATTTCTCAGTAAATCCACTCCATCAATGACCAAATAATCATCACATCTACCTTTTAAGTATTTAACAGATTTGACTATTCCCTTCATAAGCTTTGTGCATAACTTTTCATTTACCAAGTGATGACTCTTCTCCACAGGCTTCTCATTCATAACTTCAACAAGTATTTTTTGACTGCCTTTTCTTTGCTGGGGAATATTTTATGTGCTGTAGAGAGCAGTAATCAAGAGACAGATACTTTCCCATCATTGAGCTTACATCTTAGTGGAATCCCATTATGTTACTTATGACGGCTTATCACTATTAATGGTTTTTCCATTGTTTCGGAAACTCATCTGTGTTAGATAGGGCTCTCCAGAGAGACAGAACTAATAGGATATGTGTGTATACATGCATATATATAGACAGAGAGGGAAAGAGAACAAGTAAGAGAAAAATAAATTTGGTTTAACGAATTTGCTTACACAATTGTGGAGACAGTAAGTCCAAAATCTGCAGGGTAGGCCAGCAGGCTGGAGACCCAGGAAAGAATTGATGTTGCAGTTCAAGTCCAAAGACAGTCTGCTAGTGACATTCCCTCTTCTTCCAAAGAAGTCAGTCTTTTATATTAAAGGCTTTGACTGGTTGAATGCAGCTAACCCACTGTGGGTGATCTGCTTTATCTGTCTACTGATTTAAATGTGAATCTCCTCAAAAAAATACCTTCACAAAAACATCTAGAATAATGTTTGACCAAATATCTGGGTACCATGGCCTAACCAAGTTGGCACAAAAAAATTAATCTATCACAAACCCATCCCTTTTCAGCTTGGCACCCATGTACATTTTCTTAAACCATGTTAATCTCCAAATAAAAATGACAAGGTCATACTTTTACATAACATGATACAACTAACCTGTGTGTGACAGAAAATGCACCAACCCTTTCCCCAGAAGGGTTGCAAAGTCCATGGTGATGTTTACTCTTCTCTTTGATATTCTATAACTTACATTTTATGATATAAAGTTAATGGTACTTAAACACTATGATATAAAGTCAATATATCTTTTGTTACATAATAAGGAGATAAGAAAGAGAAGAAAACAAAGATATCTTCTATACACATACACATACATATTCATAACAAAATAAGGAAGTAACACTTGACAGAGACCTCATTTCTGTTACTGGTCATGTGGTCATAGATGGATTTACAACTACTTCCTTTCACTCTCTATCCTGTATTTCCTTTGCCTTTAGCTGGTAGCTGGTCATGGTTCTTTTCCTGTTGCGGTGATCCAAATGTCGACTTCTGTCGACTTCTGAAGGATCTGGTCCATTAGTAGTCCTGCCTGAATTGAGTTGTTGTAAATTTCCACTGACTTTAATCAAATGGCAAGGATTTCCTGTATTCCAGACATAGTCTTTCTTATCTCTATTGTGGAGTTGCAGTCCTATTTTCCCTGGATAGTTAGAATCGATAACTCCAGCCAGCAAAGTAACTTCCTTTTTTGCCTGCTGATTCAGAAACAAAAGGAGCCCAAAGTGGCTGGGTGGCAGGCTTAACTTCCAGTTCAATGAAATCATTGCATCTCCTGATGGAAGCATTCCTCCCTTTGAATTAAGAACTCTAGTCAGCATAGCATAAGGTTACAGGAACTCAAAGCAAAAATTTTGCTAGTGAATCACTAGGGGTAATAGTGAGTGGTACCACTCCCATTTCCACCCCTTGATTTCTAGACATATGAATCCTGGCCATGAAGGAAACAGCACCATTCACTGAATGTCAACTCAGAGCCTATACAGCTTCCTGAAAAACCTTTCTCCATCCCTGCAAGTATTGGCATCTAGCTGGCACTGTAACTGTGTTCAAAAGGCCATTTCACTATTCTACTAAGCCAGCTGCTTCAGGATACTGGGAAATGTAGTAAGACCAAAAAGTTCCATAAGCATCAGCCCACTGCCCGCATCACAGCCTTTGATAATATTTTACTTTTTGGTGTGTGGTAGTTTAGGTCCTATTTTAACCTTATTTTTTAAATTTGCAATTGATGTTTGATAAATTCACCACTTCAACACTACATTAAGCTTTGTTGAATCCCCAGTAAATGGAACTAGGTCAGTTTAATCACAACAGGAAGATACCAAGTGTTTAGAACAATAGAATTCACTGAGGTTTTTTTTAAATAGAAACAGTGCAAGCTAGTCAGAAGACTTGACTTTAAATGTAATAACCAGGCAGTTAAAGATCCTCCATTTTTACCCTCTGTAAAAATATAGATTTTGAGGAATTGCTTCAATTCACCATACCATTTTGAATGCAATTGGGTTTAAAAAATAAAATAAATTAAAAATAATAGAATACTCAGTTTATTTCACATACTGTGAAATAGAATGTATACAATTAATCATAAATTTACATAATTTAAAATCATTAAGTCACTTGCATTAGTCTAATTTTTTCATAAAATGAAAATTATTGTGTAGCCACAGATTTACTGACACACTACCTTTCTCCCAGGGTAAATTTAGTTTTAAAGGTCACATTCCCTAAACATTTCCTACAAACTAAATGCAGACTTTTATGAGCCAAAGCATACTAATGGACCCTCTGATGTGAGCAAAAATAATCTGCAAACTGAGATTTGACCAAAGGGTGTGGGCAGTGTATACCTATAAATACAGAGTAGGGAATATGAACTGCAAAATCAAATAAACTCACTGTGACTGAAAAAATGTTACATAAAGATTTACACAAGGACATTTTAGATGATCTTAAAGACTGGGGCACCTTTGCATGGAAGGTTAGCCCCAAATATTTTCCATTAAGCCACAAAAAATGTGTGTGCACATGTGCAAACTAACACACAAGTGTCTAGAGATAGAGCGTCAGAAAAGGACAAGAAATCATCTAATAAAAGTGGCAGACCTGTTTCCCTTTTAACAGAATAGCTAAAACAAAAATTAGAAAATCTCTAAAAGACACCGTATTACTGTCCCTATTTCATAAGTGGCAATGAAGCATGACAGAGGAAAGGCTTGATGAAAGCCACACAGCCTATTAGTGCTGCAAAGGGAATTGAATTCAGGTCACCTAAGTGCAAGCCCAAGATTTTATCCTAACACTAACACTTGTATATTATGAAAAATGTAATAAGAGAAAACCCCAAAGCTCACTGAACTAACGTCAACAGCTGTTCTCCCGTCATTAGTTTAATGAGAAAAAGTTACATTTCATAGGAAGTCTGTTTTCAAATTTCATATAGCATTTCCAGAAATCTGGCCTTCAGGCTTTATCTTTTCTTGCTCCACAGGGTGAAATAATGTGTCCCTGGGCCTGCTAGAAAGAGACCTCTGTCCTAACGCCTGCACAGGCCTGGACTCTGCCCTCCACTTTTGCCTTAGCACAGATCAGCTTTCCTTGAAAATTAGCAAGATTCCAACACCAGCACATGAGCAACTAACCTACTACTTTGGAGCCTAACTTTGTGCATGAACCCTAGAAATTAAGTAGCTATTACAGACACAATTTGAAATTATGTATTCTATGGGCTTTCAAACATATTCAGGAGATATAAATTGCAGATGTATAACAGTGGGAAAACAGGCTTGACATGTAGATTATGTGTGGTCCAGAGGATTCGATTTACTGAGATACCTAGTGTGGGGTTCCTAGCATGGGTTTTTTTTTCTGCAAATTCTAAAGAATATACACTTTTTGAGGAAATGAGCAAAGCTTTGACTTAATGGATTTCATATAATAATGTACCCCTAGAAAGTCCAAATGAACATTTCAACATTTCTGTTGGCATCTTTTTCACATGTTGCCAATGGTTTTGATTTTTCTCTTTACTGAACAGTGTGGCTACTTAATCATGCTATTCCAGTTTTTATCACATTTATAATAATTCAACAATTCCTTTTATAAATATATTTTAGCAAATATGCTATATGCAAAAATGTGCAGATATTATTCTTGCCCATTAGAACTTACAACTTAACAAAGAAATTGATGTATATATGAATCATAATTTAAAACAGAAAGAAATGATTTATTTGAGAAGCTTTAACTGATTTCTAAAGTTGCCATTTTCCATCAATTTTACATGTGCTCATATGATAAATCTCTCATGTTTAAACCAAAAATTAGTTCATAATTTTACCTTAGCTTTTAACTAAGAACGCTGCCCCTTTCAATTCAGTTAACTACAGAAATAGCACACGAAATCTAACTCTTGAAAAGCTCAAATCTTGCAAGAGTCAGATAAATAGTTTCTTTTTAGGTAAAGTACACATCAATGTAGAAGTCTTTATATTCTTCACTGTTGAATACTTACTCTGTAATATTTCTTAGCATAGAACTTGAGTGGATAAAAATAACACAATTTGACTCACTATTTGGTAACCAGGGCCTTTCAAATAGAAACTGCCTGTTCAGTCAGAAGGGGCAAGTTCTCAATATACAGTAATTACTGCCAATGGAATGCCTTATTTGTTCCTAAAGTGTGTATTATTATGTATAGATAGCCTCAGTATCAGAATATATAGAGATCAAAGAGTTGTGTTTCTTTACGTTTCTAAACATAAAAAAGTATTATATCCCACATTAAGAAGTCAATACACTATTACAACAATATAACTATATGATTAAGTATTTCTTCCCATTCGATTATGCAACTCCCAATTATAAAAAGGAGACTGTTTTATTAGTATGTATACAGCATCAGTAAAACTGCTTAGATCAGTATTTTAGGTAGCACCTTAAATACCAGTGAGTATTTTTCTTCCATATCATACATGCTTACCACTTGTACATACAAATATTAAAATACAGTGATCTAAAGCCCCAATTTTATGAATATTTTAGCTTTCAAATAGCTAGTGGATGTTTTGTTGGTTTTCCAAATACAGACCCAAGACCACCCTCTTGCTTATTATTTTATTTTTCAATGTTTTTCACTTATCCAGTGAAGGAAAATAACAAACAATAATGAACTGATTAAAGTTTCCCACTGAGCAGTACAAGCTCAGTTTGAATCTCTAGTAAAAATTATTTTCCTTTCTTTTGTTTTTCCTTTACTTTCACAAACATTAAGGAATGTTTTAGGCTTTGCTAGTTGATTATTCAAAACCTACATTTGCCAACTGGTGTTTTTGTAACTTCAGGCTTAAGTGAAAATGAGACAAGAAATCTCAGTTGGATATTCCTATGTTGTTATTATATTTTTAACATAAATTATTGTTACTGAAGTTATGCACAAAGCCTAAACCATTAATTTTTAGTATTATAAAGTTGCTTTTAATGTTAGTTACCTTGTAAAATAATGTAATATGTCTATTTACCTAAAAAGTCTCCTTTTCTACAGCTGACATCAACTATTTAATTACATAATAAAACCCATTACCCCTGTGAAATGTTTTACCTCCAAAGAGATTGTACACGCTCTTAGACTATTTTTTTGGGGGTGGGGTCAGCAAAGACTGGCAGGAAGTCTTTTCCATACAATCAGAATTTTTTTTTTTTTTTGAGACTAGGTCTCACACTGTGACCTAGGTTGGAATGTAGTGGTATGATTACATCTCATTTCAGCCTCCACCACCTGGGCTCAAGCCCAATCTTCCCACCACAGTTTCCTAAGGAGCTGGGGCCACAGGCGTGCATCACCACTCCCAGCTAATTTAAAAATTTTTTTTTTCTTTTAGAGGTATTTTAGAGATAGGGTCTCACTATGTTGCCCATGCCAGTCTTGAGCTCCTGGGCTCAAACAATCCACCTGCCTCAGTCTCCCCAAATGTTGGGATTACAGGTGTGAGCCACCAAGCCAAGCCAATCAGAAAATATTTAATGAGCACTAATTACATGATAAGCAATGGGGTTTTTATAAAGAAAAAAATGTGATTAATGTCCTCAAGTGATCAACAGCTGGATGCAGGACTGCTTACATAATTTGCAGGCCCATTGCGAAATGAAAATTCAGGGCCCATTGTTCAAAAATTATGAAGAATTTCAGACACAACTGCAGAGCGTTAAACCAAGTGTGGGGTTCTTCTGAACAAGGAGTCCTGGGTAACTGCACAGGGTCACATGCCCTTGAAGCCCACCTTGGCTCAATGACTAAATAGCAACAAGGAGGAGATTTTCTAAGGGGATATCACCAAATAGGTATCAGAAAGATGACCTTTAAATCTCTGCCAAAGACAAAAGGAAATTTAAGATTCTAGGAAATCTGTGCAAGAAAAATGAAACAAATGCACATAATAAGATAAATATCAAAGCCAAAGATCTGTAATGAAATAGGAGCTATCTTAAGACAGCTGAAAGACAACCTTGCAAATACAGGTCTTCTGACGTTAAGTACCAAATAAACAATTTGTGGGGAAAAGCAGTAATAGATCAGAAAGAGGAAGGAACATTCTTGGCTGGAGTGGGCAGGAAATGCTTTCTGGAGTGAGTGAGACCTGGCCTTGCTCTTGACGGAGAAGTTAGATTTAGCAAAGCTCACGTTGATTTGACACATAACATGGCTTTTGTAATTGGCAATGATTTTTGTTTCCTAAATTAAAACACTTTATAAAATCCTTAAAATATTTGAAAAAGTCATAAGTCCATACGTCTCCAAGATAGAAATTTTAAAATATTAAACTATATGAAGTAAATATGAAGCAAAATTTTATCACGAGTTGCAGTGAAGCTTCTAATTATATAAACACTTCATAAAAAATAAGTGCATTATACCTAGAGGCTTAGCTTGAGCCAATAGATGCTTATAGAATTTTTCAGATCAAATTTACCAGTTCTTCTCTTTAGATATATAAAATACAAAATACAGATATCATTTGCTTTTTTCCCAGTATGTTCACCACTGTTTAATATTTATCAAGTAGAATTAGCATTGCATTCCATCTCCTGTCCTTTGAGTATACATTCTCCTAGATTTGTATATTTTTTTAAGTGAGAATCCTACCGAAACAAAACATCTGAAAATATCTAATGAAACTTTTCTTTTTCCAGCCAGCAATGCTAACACTCTCTGTAGGTGGTGCTGAATGCTTAAATAGTGGTGTGCCTTAAATGTTTAAAAATGGGCTTCAGGATGGTGTGTAGGAAATGGGGCAGAGTCCTAATTTTAGCATTTGCTGATATTTATGTTGTAAAAACTTCCACCAAAGAGTATAAGAGAAATCTCTCTTCTATCTTTGTAACTTGTCAGTACCTATAAAACCACTCTATTGTAAGATTTTAATTAAAAAATAAAATAAAAACCTCTTATGGCCAATTTCAAGCTATCAACTTGACATCACAGAGCATAGAGGTAAGATGGGCACAGATGAGCAAAATCAGCTCTTGGAATAGAGGAAAGAACTTAAATGATGAAGCAGGCCCAGAAGTATGTAAAAGGCATTGGTCCCAACACACTGCTAGGATGGATGCAGTAAGAGGAGACTGTAAACACTGGAGCCAAGGTAAGGTGCAGAGCCTGCAACTTATAGGGACATGGTGTAAAGGTTATCCCTGTCACTGTTGGTTCATTGGGATTCACAACTACAGAGTTTTCAGTTTTTCCTTAGAAGGACTTGGAGAATTCATCATGGAATTCTTCACCAGTCATCTCATCCAGAGCTTCCCCAGCTTCTCTAAAGTAAGAATCAGCCAAAGCATTTGCTAACAACAACAATAACAACAACAACAACAAAATTATTGGACCTCCAATCCAGAAATGCTGAATCAGTTTCCAGGGAAGAAGCTTGGAAACCCCAGAAAATTCTCATCACTAGGAAAGGTTGGAAAACACTGACCAGCTCAACCTCCTGGCAACAAAGGAATCTCCCTTACACCATGCACAACATGTAACCAGCCATGAGTTCTACGTTGGCCAAAAACCTGCCAGTGAAGATGGTCAGCAGCATATAACTGTGGACATACCTGGGTGAAATCCTTCCTTCACTGTTTGCCAGCCATGTGACTTTGAAAAATTCACTGAGCCTGTCTGAGTTTGGTTCCCCTTATCTGCAAAATGGAGGTAATAATTGCAACTTCATGGCATTGTTTTGCTGAGCAAACAAGATGCCATATGTAATGCACCTAGCACAGGGCTGGCACCAAAGCACCCAGCATATACCAGCTAATGCAATTTAGACAATGATTCTCAACCTTGCTGGCATGTACACATCACCTAAGAGGTTTTTAAAATCCCAAGGTCCTGGCTACATGCTAGCCCAAGTAAGTTAGAATCTCTGAGGATGAGATCCAGGCATCAATATTTTAAACTTCCCCAGGTTATTCCATGTGCAGCTAATATTAAGGAAAATTGAATAAGCAGCAAACAAATTTGAAAGGCTGCCCAACTCAGCAGCTGAAAAGCCATAATGATTACCTTGTATTTCCTTTGAAAGAGGCACAACTAAAACAATCATCATTGGTATCATCAAAGAGTATATTTTAAGCACCCACTGAGTGCAAGATAATAAAGTCCCTTTTCTGGAAGATCTTTGAAACACCAGGAAGCCTACTACACGGATATCCTCTTTGCTTAAGCTTCATGGGTATACCTTTTTCTTGTTTATAGTTTCAAGTTGTTAGATGACTTCTTGTCACATTTGTGTTGTCGATGGTGAGTTGCCAGCAGAGCGTCATCTCAGGAGAAATCACTGAATACAGCTTTGCTTGATGCAGGTAGCTAAAGGAAAGAGGGAAACATTCTGAATAATTAGAAGGAAAAAGGCAAGAACGGGATTCCCTAAGGAAAGAGCTCCTGTCAGAGCCAATGGAAGCAGATGCTCCAACAAAACGAGGCTCAAGAGGACAAAGCAGGAACCTTTTCCTGTGTGACAAGGAAAGGGTCAAGAGGACCAATTTCATTTAGAATAATTAACACCCAATAATTGATCAAAGGTATTATTACAATTTCACCTGTCCCTAAATCCTGAGAAGCTTAAGACATGGCCTGTGATTAATCAGCATGACAATCATAATTATGGATAAATGGAAATTAAGACGTTTTATTTCTGTCAGTTTTATTGAAATCTTGTCCCTGCTTTGCCTATGTGATGCCAACTCAATCCTCTGTAAACAGGGAACTGAAAGCTTGTTTCATTTTTCAAATCCCTTTACACCATCAGAGTCTGAATCAAAAGGCAACCTGCCATTATGTTTAAGTTACAGTGATAATAATTACAGTAGTCTAGAATTCCCCACCAACTATTTTATCTTAAGAAACACAGGTTTATACTCTTGCTGTCTGCCTAGCTGTCAATCCATATACAGGAGACACTAAAAGGATAAATTAACTTGGTGACTCCTTCAAAATGGTATTGATTCAAAGATATATCGGTTGACAACCTACCCTCAGAGAAGAAAGGACCAGCTGCCATTCACAGAGTAAATAAATACTTTCTAGGTTGGGCACTGATGTTTCCTGAGACCTCTAAGAACCCAGCTTCTGACAATGCTGTTACCACATTTAAGTGTCCTATAATTATGAAATTATTATTTTAGTTTTGTTTTGTTTCATGAATTTTACTTGTTTTCACATATAAGCAAATGTTTTTCTCCATTTCTGGAAGAAAATAACATTTTACAGCATGAGAGAAACCCTCATATAAAGTACAATAGCTTTTGATTTGGGCCACTGTTTGTAAGGACAAATTAAAGTATAACAACAGGAATTTTGGAATAGAGGAATAATTTGAATCAATAACAAAGAAACAGGAGATGGAGTGAGGGAAGAAGGGGGAAAGCTTTAGTGCCCTGATTTGCTCACATTTCATAAGAAAGAATTACTTAAAACTGATAAATCAAGTAACTGCAACACATTTTTTAAACTTTTATTTTAGTTTCCAGGGTACATGTGCAGGTTTGCTATATAGGTAAACTGAGGGTCATGGGTGATTGGCATACATATGATCTTAAAGTCACAATTGCAGGCTTTGATTTCTGAAATGTAAAAAAAAGTTTCAATTCACTTTAAGTTAATTTCTTCTTGGATGTTTCTCTTCTTGGAGATATATATATATATATATATATACACACACACACACATACACATACACTATAATGTAATTTACTGATATTAATGTAGGTTATATATTATATAAAAAAGATTATATATGTTATATATAAACATATATTATTATGTATATGTAATTATATATATTCATATTTATAGATGCATACATATATACACACATATTCCTATATACACACATCATCTATGCAATCACATATGTGAAAAAAAAGTCAGCTATTTATTTTGAAGGCCCATTCTAAAGCTTAATCTGCTCTCCTGGTGCATGGAAACTCCATAAATATTATTCTTCCACTTTTCTAAATTTATTTGTTTATCACGTTTTGCTTGTTGTTATTAACCCTGTTTCCAAAATAAAACCAGTTATATATAGCCAACTAAAATTTTAGAATGTCAATTCTATTTCTATATTCAGTGATTGTTTTTGTATCAAATAATTAACATATATACTGAGAAAACATAAGATTGATGTTAAAAACAAAACAGAAACAAGTGCCTTACTAACAATGCAGCAGCATTTCTTCTACTCCTGTTGTCTTGTGATTTGTACTTAATTATTTCAACAAACTAGAATATTGTTATCCTTAAGATGACAATACATAAAGGAAAATATCTCTAGGAAACATGAAAAGGTCAAAATAAAGAGATAATTAACTACAAAATAAAATGGCATTTATCCTATAGTTATAGCAGAATAAATATATGTACTTACTAGAAATATCAAGAATGACCTTTTTATCAGTAGAAAGTTTTAAAAGTAGTTGCTGTATTTCATGGATAAAACAACCATCTCTTGAAATAAATGGTCTGAGATAAATAACTGAATAAGATATATTAAAAGACAAAGGATAGCGTTTAAAATTAGTATAATAATGATTATCTGATTCTATTGCTAAGTAGTTAGAGCAATTGAATTAGAAAATGCTCAAATGTTATTTTGAAGTGATATCTGCAAGCTCCAGTAGGTCAAGTACGCCATTCTTTGAGATAAAAATCATCACTAATTTGCCAACTTCCTGCACCTTAAATTGACATCAGGGATTTGGGGCCAGCCCAGAGGTGATATTTTAAAATATTTGCCAATTTATTACATAGAGATCCTCATCTACGTGTCTTTTTTTTTTTCTTTCTCTTTTTCCCCTCATCTTCTCCTTTCTGGTCATATTACTTGAATCCATGCTCTTTCCTTCTAAGGATTCATTTTATAACGTTGGCTTCAGATGATTTTCAAAAACTACTGCTATTTTACTAATTTAATGCCCAGATACACAATTAATTAAAATGTGCTATTCATTTTTCTTCACATAAAAAAGTTATTATTAAGCATAAGACGGACTTTTTTGAAAGTTTCAAAAGACAGCGCTTGCACTTCTCAATTCAACAGCCTTGCAGCTTACACCTACACACTGCACTGGCTGTGGTGCTGGACTCTGAAGATAGAAACCTTTCTAGTCACAAGAAACCCTCTCTATCTGGTTGGCAATTCAAATAAGTAAACAGCAAAAATTTAAGTATGGTATAATAAAAGCATAACTAGAATTATTTTTCTTTTTTAGCTTAAAACAAGACACATTTATCATCTTACAGTTCTGCAGGTCACATGTCTGAAATGGGTCTCACCGAACTAAAATCAAGGTGTGAAAAGAGTTGGGCTTCTTCTACAGGCTCTGGGAGAGAATCCATTTCCCTGCCTTTTCTATCATCTGAAGGCTGACTGTGTTTCTTCAGATGCTCATGGCCCCTTTGCATCTTCAAAGCCAGCAATTGTAACATTCTGGCCTCTGCTTTCAACATCACATCTCTTTCCCTGACTCTGTTTCTCCTGCTTTCCTCTTCAAGGCCCTCTGTAATTGCATTGTAAGGACGCCTGTGATTACATTGAGCCTACCAGATAATGTAAACTAATCTTCCTATTCTAAAGTCAGCTCATTAGCAACCTTAATTCCAGGAGCAACCTGAATTCCACCTTGCCATGTGACCTAATACATTCACAGTTTTCAGGAACTAGGAAATGAACATCTTGGGAGTGGGTGGTGGGAAGACATTCTTCTGCCTACTGCTCTTTCACATGCCATACAAGGCCCTTCACCATGTAGACTCAAACTGTCTTTCTGGTCTTATCTCCCACCACTTACGTATCGGTAACATATTGCTGCATAACAAGTTACCCTAAAGCTTAGTGGATTAAAATAACATGTATTATCTTGCCATTTCTGTTGGTTGGGAATCCAGGAATGGCTTAATTGGGTTATCTAGCTCAGCATCTCTCTCAAGGCTGTATTCAAAATGTCACCTGGGGCTGCTTTCCTCTCAAAGCTCAACTGAAAAAGAATCTGCTTTCAAGCTTGCTCACATGATTGTTGGCAGGATTCTTCCCTCCCTGGCTATTGACTGGAGGCTACTCTCAGTTATTTTCCACATGGGTTTCTCCATACGGCAGCTCACAACTTGGCATCTGGCTTCAACAGAGCAAGAAGCAAGAAGAGCCAGAGAGAGAATGCAAGCAAGAATGAAGTCGTTCTTTTGTAACCTCATCTCATCACTTTTGCTGCATCATATACATTAGAAGTGAGGCCTACCCACACTCTAGAGAAGGGGATTGTATAAGGGCATGAAAACCAAAAAGTGGTAGCATGGGGCCATGTTAGAACTGCCTAGTGCATCCCAATATGTACCCTGTGCTCTCCCCTCATAAAACAACCTATGTTCCCCAAGAAAGAAAAAAAGTGCTTTGTAACTCATCTTCCCTGTGCTCATTAATCCACTCATTCAAAAATATCTGTTTGACTCCTATTCAGCAACACTAGAACCCTGCTCAAGATACCATGAATCAGAGGGAGAAGTGATTAGCACTGCCTGGGAGGGGTTCCCACTGGAACTGAACTCTGCATTGAGTTTTGAAGAATTAGGAATGGTTCACAAGGGGAACAAGAGATGAAAGTCAAGTCTGAGCAAATGGGCGAAGAATGAAGATTATAGATCATGATCTTGTGTTTCAGGGAACTATAAAAGTTTCTGCAATGACGGAGTATAATTATTGAGCATCTAATGAGGGTATGAGGAAAATGGAACTGTGGGATGTGATGCTGGAATAATACCCAGGGGCAAGATGAAAGGTCATGATACAGGACTTGGGCTTATGAGGTAGAGGTGGCAGTGAAGGGTTCCAATTGTGAGATGAATAATTTGGATTGATGGCTCTGGCAGCCAGTGTGACAGGGAGTGGAAGATGCAAGAAGAGTAACAGACTGAACAGTTAAGAGGCTATTCCGGCAGCAAAAGCAAGCCTTTACCATGTCATGAGAAAGACAATGGCACTGGTAATACAGGAGTCGATTTCACTGAGACCAAAATCCAATGCTTCGTGAAATTCAGAAGTATGCTATGTGATTCCATTGCTCTCAAGTGTTCTTGGTTTTCCACAGTCATCATGTTGCATGTGTATTCCTAAGGAAAGAAGCACTAGAAAGCAAGTCTAGGGCAAAGAAAGATTCAAAACCTGATAGACAATTGACTTGGAGGGTTCAATGAAACCCCTAAATTTTTTGTGTGTGCATGTTTCTAAGTGGACCTATACTTGCATAAAATTCTCAAGGCATCTCTGATATAAAAACGGTGAGAATCACTATTCTATATACAAGCTATTCTCGTCTAGTCTCGTGTCATTTAAAATGCCTCAAAACATTTTTTAAATGCCTTTTGCCACTCATCACCTAATGACCAGACTACAATTTTTAATGGATTCTGAACTTTATGTCTTAAACCATTAATTGTTCTTGCTTACATGGCTGCGTACTTTGAGGCTAGATCTGAATATTTCTTACATGTTAATAAATGGAAGTAAAGATCAGCTATTCATTATAACACTACTAAGACTTTGCTTCTTGTAAATGGATGGGAAGTGGGAATATGACTTTGTATGGAAAAAATAACTTTCATAAAGCCTCTTGTTCAAGTACCTATTTCCTGGAAATGAATTGTTCCATACTTTGGAGATATAATCTAATGGAACATACTTCCCTGGGAGGTTAAGTGTTCTATTTTCTAATGTGAAGAACTATTTAAAACTGCCAGTGTAAAAAGAGTGGGTAAAACTTTAGCATTTCTCCCACTTGTTTAGTGATAACTTTTGATATTCTCTAGTCTGTGTGAATACAATCTCACCACAGCAGTCCTCACACATACTCTCAAGTTCAGCCTTTCTTACACTTCACCAACTTACATGCGAGAAGACCCAGGGTGATTATCATTATATCTGAAATAAATACAAAAGGAAAATATCTTCAACATAGTGAAAATGCTAGAAAAAAAGCACTGCAAGAAAATGAGGTGCTTAGACAGCCCCATGGATCTAGTAATAAGACATCATTTTAAGACTCTTAGCAATGTTCGAAGATTTTTATCCTTCATCAGTCTCTGCCAAGGGACATAGCCATAAACATTTAATTATAAAGCTACATGGAGCAAAGAGAGACAGCTTGGGAAATTTGCATACTGGTAGTAAGATGTGGCATAATTCGCTTAAAAATAAAGAATGTTAGAGACTATTAGAAGTGTGCCACTGGTTTTTGAGAAAAATACTAAGAGACATTTCAGAAAGCAGCGATTTTTCTGCATTATTTTGTAAAATCTCAGATAAAAGCTAGGAGGTCCAAGGAATGATAATATTAGTTTGGAAATTCTGTATTCTCTATTATAAACCTAACTACAATTTCAAGAGGGTAGTGGATAACTCTTCTATATCTCTGATCATTTGCAGAGCTCAGCACAGTATCCAGCATGGGTGATGTCTGCATAAATAAATTAAGAATAAATGCTTCAAAACAAATTAGCAGCTGATAGAGATAATATTTAAAATAAAGGTGTTGTTCGAGAAAATGGAACCCTATGACTGTCACATTAAAATGCTGTAATTGTATAATACTATTTCAAAGATAACACCCATCCAATAAATATTCTGCTCTGTGAAGAAATGCCTACACTAAGCATGGAGGAAAATCTTCCATTGGATAGTGAAGCATAGTTTTAGATCTTCTTTGACTGCACAGGCTCCTTTCACAGCCCTTCCAGGAGGTGGAAAGGGTTTCTAACAGTGTGTTCGTCTGGTCAATTGTACTTCTTATATTTACAGTTTGAAGATGGTTTTCACATAATTGCTTCTCTGTTTCTATTCCTCCTTCCACTCTGTCTACTCTCCCTGCATGTGGGTGGCATTAGAGAGGTTGTGGGGATTTGGGGAATCCTATTAAGGGGAAGTTGAGTTGAAGATATGGTTATCTTGGATTTAATGAGATATACAGTTCTTTCCAATCATTTCCATGTATGGTTAAATTATTGATGGACATACCAGTGTAGAAATGAATTTCAGGAATGCTTTTACCCCTAGCTACACCAGCTCACCCAGCTTCACAACATGTATATGCAGGGGCAGAGACCTAATCAGGATATAAACTTGTATGCAAATGCCTGGCAGATAGTACATAGTAGCAGGAGAGAAACTAGGTTTAAAATGAACAGGACCAAGGAAAATTCTTCCAAATTGTGTAACTCACATTCCAAAGACACTTCATAGAAGTCTTCCTAAACTTGACAGAAATCTGAAAGCTGTACATAACATTATCAATAAGGAACGGTGAAGCCGAAAAAGCATTTCTAAATTACCATCAATAGGCTGGGTGCGGTGGCTCATGCTTGTAATCACAACATGCTGGGAGGCTGAGGCAGGCGAATCGCTTGAGGTCAGGAGTTCGAGACCAGCCTGGCCAACATGGCGAAACCCCATCTCTACTAAAAATACAAAAATTAGTTGGGTGTGGTGTCACATGCCTATAATCCCAGCTACTCAGAGGCTGAGGCAGGAGAATCGCTTGAACCCAGGAGGCAGAGGTTGCAGTGAGCCAAGATCACCCCACTGCACTCCAGCTTGGGTAACAAAGCGAGACTCCATCTCAAAAAAGAAAAGAAAAAATCAATTTTCAATTTACTATGTTTGACAAGAGACTAAACTCTATTATGTCTATAGAAAGTGATTTTTAAAAATTATTTTCATAGAAGAGGTGATCAAGGAGTAAGCAGACATCAACAAGTAAGGAAAACATCATTAGAGAAAGTTAATTACTACAGCAATATTTTTGAATTTTATGTTGTTTGTGGTATCTGATGCTTTTTAAAGTATTGTTGGCAATAGATTCATTTTCTTGAAGATGACTCCCAAATGTGTATGTTTCAAACACTATAAAACCAGAGTGAGGCTATGATTAGAAAAAACAGTCCGTAAGAGAATTTTAGACCAATATCCTTGATGAACATTGATGCAAAAATACTCAGTAAAATACTGGCAAACTGAATCCAGCAGCACATCAAAAAGCTTATCCACCATGATCAAGTGGGCTTCATCCCTGGAATGCAAGACTGGTTCAATATACACAAATCAATAAATGTAATCCAGCATATAAACAGAACCAAAGACAAAAACCACATGATTACCTCAATAGATGCAGAAAAGGCCTTTGACAAAATTCAACAACCCTTCATGCTAAAAACTCTCAATAAATTAGGAATTGATGGGACATATCTCAAAATAATAAGAGCTGTCTATGACAAACCCACAGCCAATATCATACTGAATGGGCAAAAACTGGAAGCATTCCCTTTGAAAACTGCCACAAGACAGGGATGCCCTCTCTCACCACTCCTATTCAACATAGTGTTGGAAGTTCTGGCCAGGGCAATTAGGCAGGAGAAGGAAATAAAGGGTATTCAATTAGGAAAAGAGGAAGTCAAATTGTCCCTGTTTGCAGATGACATGATTGTATATCTAGAAAACCCCATCGTCTCAGCCCAAAATCTCCTTAAGCTGATAAGCAACTTCAGCAAAGTCTCAGGATACAAAATCAACGTGCAAAAATCACAAGCATTCTTATACACCAATAACAGACAAACAGAGAGCCAAATGATGACTGAACTCCCATTCACAATTGCTTCAAAGAGAATAAAATACTTAGGAATCCAACTTACAAGGGACGTGAAGGACCTCTTCAAGGAGAACTACAAACCACTGCTCAATGAAATAAAAGAGGATACAAACAAATGGAAGAACATTCCATGCTCATGGGTAGGAAGAATCAATATCGTGAAAATGGCCATACTGCCCAAGGTAATTTATAGATTCAATGCCATCCCCATCAAGCTACCAATGCCTTTCTTCACAGAATTGGAAAAAACTACTTTAAAGTTCATATGGAACTAAAAAAGAGCCTGCATCGCCAAGTCAATCCTAAGCCAAAAGAACAAAGCAGGAGGCATCACGCTACCTGACTTCAAACTATACTACAAGGCTACAGTAACCAAAACTGTATGGTACTGGTACCAATACAGAGATATAGATCAATGGAACAGAACAGAGCCCTCAGAAATAACACAGCATACCTACAACTATCTGATCTTTGACAAACCTGAGAAAAACAAGCAATGGGGAAAGGATTCCCTATTTAATAAGTGGTGCTGGGAAAACTGGCTAGCCATATGTAGAAAGCTGAAACTGGATCCCTTCCTTACACCTTATACAAAAATCAATTCAAGATGGATTAAAGACTTAAACGTTAGACCTAAAACCATAAAAACCCTAGAAGAAAACCTAGGCATTACCATTCAGGACATAGGCATGGGCAAGGACTTCATGTCTAAAACACCAAAAGCAATGGCAACAAAAGCCAAAATTGACAAATGGGATCTAATTAAACTAAAGAGCTTCTGCACAGCAAAAGAAACTACTATCAGAGTGAACAGGCAACCTACAAAATGGGAGAAAGTTTTTGCAACCTACTCATCTGACAAAGGGCTAATATCCAGAATCTACAATGAACTCAAACAAATTTACAAGAAAAAAACAACCCCATCAAAAAGTGGGCAAAGGATATGAACAGACACTTCTCAAAAGAAGACATTTATGCAGCCAAAAGACACATGAAAAAATGCTCATCATCACTGGCCATCAGAGAAATGCAAATCAAAACCACAATGAGATACCATCTCACACCAGTTAGAATGGCAATCATTAAAAAGTCAGGAAACAACAGGTACTGGAGAGGATGTGGAGAAATAGGAACACTTTTACACTGTTGGTGGGACTGTAAACTAGTTCAACCATTGTGGAAGTCAGTGTGGCGATTCCTCAGGGATCTAGAACTAGAAATACCATTTGACCCAGCCATCCCATTACTGGGTATATACCCAAAGGACTATAAATCATGCTGCTATAAAGACACATGCACATGTATGTTTATTGCGGCACTATTCACAATAACAAAGACTTGGAACCAACCCAAATGTCCAACAATGATAGACTGGATTAAGAAAATGTGGCACATATACACCATGGAATACTATGCAGCCATAAAAAATGATGAATACATGTCCTTTGTAGGGACATGGATGAAACTGGAAATCATCATTCTCAGTAAACTATCGCAAGGACAAAAAACCAAACACCACATGCTCTCACTCATAGATGGGAATTGAACAATGAGATCACATGGACACAGGAAGGGGAACATCACACTCTGGGGACTGTTGTGGGGTCGGGGGAGGGGGGGAGGAATAGCATTAGGAGATATACCTAATGCTAAATCACGAGTTAATGGGTGCAGCACACCAGCATGGCACATGTATACATATGTAACTAACCTGCACATTGTGCACATGTACCCTAAAACTTAAAGTATAATAATAAAAAAAAAGAAAAAACAGTCAATGGCCTTGTTGTAAATTAGTTATTGGTGAGATAATGAAAGTTTTGCTTGGGTCATGTGACAGTTTGGATTAGAAAAATATTATCATAGTTACTTGTGATGAAGTCTCTGAAAAGTAGGGATTCTCTTTAAGAGAATGCACTGTCTAAACTCATCAAATATTGGAAGTTGCTTTTAAGGTATTTCTAAGACTATACCACTGAATATTTTGTCTCAAAGTATTTTTACTTCTGCCTTTACATTTTTAAATAGTAACTACATGTGTTTGTTTAGCACTGTCCATGTTTCCAAAGTGCTTTTTCATATTCTAGATTATAGCTTCTTGGTGGCAGTAATGGATCTTATTTCAAAATAGTAGCTTAGTGCCTGGCACTGAGTAGGTGCCCAATAAATTGTTATTGAGCACATCAATGACTACATTTAATTGTCCAGAAAATTTTTAATTTCAGATTATTGTCAGATTACCTATGAGAAAACAGATGCAGAATGTTTGCTCAAATTCACCTAAATAACAAATAAACAGGATTTAAAATTTCAAAAAGTAGAGGTTTCATACTGTATTGATAGCATACTACAACAGCAAATGACACCCTCAACCCTCCTCTACATAGGCTCTTTCAAAAGAAACTCATTTAATACTAATAGACAAAGAAATTATTGCTGTAAAACATTTTAGGTAAGGCATGTTTGTAACAAATGCCATTAGAACTGATAGCAGCAGCATATCCTGGTGTTAGACAAATTATTTCAGCATTACATTCATGTGGAAATATATTTATTAAATTTAAATTTTATTAACTTAAGGACTGTAAGTTTGAAAATGAAAACATTTCTAACCATCTGAATTTTCTCTTCACTTGGAAAAGCATTTATCCAGTTGACATACAGTTTTATACTTCTAGCAATTAAATTCAACATTTAATATTGCCAATCCCTGTTAGAAGATAACTATTGTCCTTTACTAGACTCAAATGACCACTTATTTTCTACCAAATAGCAGACATTAATGTAATTGACTCACCCAGTCAACTGTGCTGAATTGTTTAAATGGACAAGGGCATCTGTGCAGGCAAAGAAAGAGCCTATTTTGTAGACCTTTGATAATGCCTGACATCTTATAAAACTTTCACAGAATTCAGAATTTTTGAAATAACAATTGGAATATTTTTTTTCCTAAGGAAAACAAAAATGCAAGGAAGTCTTCTACCAAGGGCCACTAGGTAATTATTTGTAAATACTTGTTCCAAAACACTCTGATGAAGCCAAAAATTCTTTGTCTCCAATAATTGAACATATTGGGAGAACGAAATAAGATGGCTTTTCTAATTTTGGCTATAATATCTCAGTTCTTCTTAAAGAAAATTAGAATCAAAAGAGCATCAAAAGGAAATTCTAAAAACAACTCAATTCTTTCACAGCGCAGCCAAACAACTCAATTCTTTCACAGCGCAGCCCTGCCTGTGGAGAGACAGCCTTAAGGAGCCACAGACAGCAGACCCTATCTGCTTCTTGACAAGGAGGAAGTCTGCAGAGCTGCTCCAGGAGGGTGTAGTCACGCTGTGATTTGCCACTCAAACACACAGCTTGCTTATTCACTCAGCTGTGCACTAGGTTTCAGGTTTGAGTTTTAGGGAAAACTGAAAATTCAAAAGTGGTAACAGATGCTCCTCATCTTGAAGTTTCTGCCCACATGCTGCCACTTGAGACAAGGAAAGAAGCAGCTAATTCAGCAAGGCTGGGAAATTGAGAGTTTGATGTGGGGCCATAATATACTTGCTAATACATCAGACCCCCATCCCTGCACTTATACCGATGCCAAGCCCCACCAGTCTTTGAGCATTCCGCGAAAAGACATTGCTGGCAATAGCATCAAGCTCTGCAAAGGAAGCACCAAATCTACAAAGTGCACACCTCCGGTAAAGAGAAAGTTTAACTCTCTTCTTGGGTAGTGGTGGTGGTGGGAGGATGGCAGTGTATTTGATGGTGCATTTGATGTTGGTCATATAGAAAAATGAAAGAACCACAGAGAAAACTGTTTATTCCTTACTTACAGACAAAAACTTTCTGTCCTATCCAAAGGGATAAGTGGTTTCTATCCTCCACTAAGAGGTTGAATGAGCCAGATAAAGAGGTAAGCCAAGATTATGTTTTATGCAAGTGACAGGCCATGAAGAAAGCAGAGTAGAGAGAGTTATATAGAAACTGACTAATCTAAAAGTGGTCTCATGAACATGAATCTGTCGAAACCTAAGGTCCCAGCTTCTGTTAATACCTTCCTGTTTACTCCCATCTCTCTCCCTCCCTTTTATTCCCACTGCCAAATAATAATATTTATAATCCAAATATTGCAAGACTTGAATCTGAATTGTCTGTTTCTAAGGATGTCATGAGTCAGGTTCTTAAATTATTAAAACATGTACACCTCCAGACCCCATGTAGCAGATACTGTAGCCAGCTCACTCAGCAATCATTCCAAACCTCTTTTAGTGTGCCTTCCTGTCTGCATTGGCTTGAAGGCTAAATACAAGATTTCCCATACTCTATAGCAGCTAGGATTCCAGACATAATTTAGATCTGCCAGTTGGTATACTCCCAGGAAACTGAATCTAAACTGAGTTCCATAGAAGGAGATGAGCAGAGCGTATGACATGCATCTTTTTGGTGTAAATAGTGGCACAGGTTTTGTAGGGCTGGAGTTGACAGTTGTGGCTGTGATTTCTTGATTCAACAGGTTCTTGAAAGAATCATCCATTATTCCCTTTGTAATCAAGCTCTACTGTACGGTTAGAAAAATCATTCCAGAAAGCTTCCAGTGTCTGTTTTATCAGGTCTGCCAATGATTATGCGAGCCATAATAGCCCCCTTGAATTAAAACCAGCTAGAATAGATTTTGTGTTCTGTAGCTAAAAACCTGACTAATATACTCTTTCTCCATTTTATAGTAGGACCTAGAAACCAGGGGAGAGAAACAAGTCAATGCTGTGGGAAGAAACGAGTCTATTTAAGTATACTTTCTTCTCTCAGACACCCTATTCATGCTTCCAAGAAATATACAGCTGGATAAATTTACAAAACTGTGAGTGTCACCATTTTAATTTCCAAATTAGATGTACTAAGTTCATAAAAATCTATTATTCAAGCTACCAGGTCACATTGATTCAAAGAAATGTTCTATCCATAAAAAAACATACTTTTATGTAGCATCGACAAAACATTTAATAGATTTGTATCCAAGTGGTCCACTCAGACACTGGTTGTTAGAAGGGCTCCCAGAACCATTGCTTTTCCCATGCTCTAAAAATTTATTCTTGTATTCTAGGTCACTTGTAGACTTCTCTTTAGGGTCCTAGGAGCTTGTACCCTAAAATATAGTAGAAGCTATTCTATTTGGAGAACTATAAACAATATTATTTTAATCAAAATGATTCTATATTATTGGAGTTTGGCCTGAATATGTTACAGGAAAGGGGTCTTGATCCAGACCCAAAGAGAGGGTTCTTGGATCTCACTGAAGAAAGAATTCAGGGTGAGTCCGCAGGGTAATTTGAAAGTAAGTTTATGAGGAAAGTAAAGGAATAAAATAATAGTTACTTCATAGATAGAGAAGCCCTGAAGGCTGCTGGTTGCCCATTTTTATGGTTATTTCTTGATGACATGCTAAACAGCAGTAGATTATTCATGCTTCCCCTTTTTAGACCATATAGGGTAACTTTGTGACGTTGCCATGGCATTTGTAATCTGTCATGGTGCTGGTGGGAGTGTAGCAGTGAGAACGACCAGAGGTCACTCTCATGGCCATCTTCGTTTTGGTGTGTTTTGGCTGGCTTCTTTACTGCAACCTGTTTTATCAGCAAGGTCTTTATGACTTGTATCTTGTGCCAAGCTCCTGTCTCATCCTGTGACTTCGAATGTTTTAACTGTATGGGAATGAAGGCCAGCCTTATTTTACCCAGCCCCTATTTAAGATGGAGTTGCTCTGGTTTACATGCCTCTGACAAATATACAGAAGCACCCATCACACACAAACAAAAATTATGGTATAGAATGAAAGAAAAGTATTTGCAAAATCTTGCCTTAGAATTACTCTTTCTACACAGATTCTCATTAACCATCCAGTAAGGAAACGACAAGGAGAGTCCCAGGTTACCATACCTACTAAAATTCTCACTGTCTAGGTTATCCCATTCCTTCAGCATGTGGTCCATTCTCACTTAGAACTGTGCTTCTGGTACATGCTAACAGTGATGAGAGATAGTTAACAAATAATCAGAGAAATCCAAACCTCTTGAATAGTGTAATTGTAAAAAGTAAGGATAAATTTTAATTTAAAAAAGAAATACATAGAACTGGTCTATTAATGCAAAAAGAGGTTTTTCCTTGTGAAGAACATAAAATCATTGCAAGCACCCTGAAAGATCTTTTTTTTTCTATCTGTTCTAATACATATTTCCAAAGCATACATTGATATTTATTGGGCCAAAAATGATTGGCATCTCTGAAAATAAAACTTTTAAGAAGCATTTTTAGAGATTATATAAGAACAAATTAGAAATAAAAATAAGTGGATCGACCATTTTTCTGAGCATATTTTATTAACTGACAGGTTGTCTATTATTAACCTAACCATACAGAAGTAACTCATGAATGGAACTAAAATCCCGAAATGGTCTTTTGATACAAAACAAAGAAATGAGAGCCTAAAACACATTGCCTAAGTAAAGGTTACAAAACTGAAAAAGGGCCAAAATGAGATTCAAAAAGTAAAATCTTAGAAGGAGAGAATAAGGTCAAAGTCTTCTGATCCCGTACTAAAACTACTGATTTTTTTTTTTTTTTCCTTTTTTGAGATGGAGTTTCGCTCTTGTCGCCTAGGCTGGAGTGCAATGGCGTGATCTTGGCTCACCACAACCTCCGCCTCCCGGGTTCAAGTGATTCCCCTGCTTCAGCCTCCCAAGTAGCTGGGATTACAGGCATGTGCCACCACACCTGGCTAATTTTGTATTTTTAGTAGAGATGGGGTTTCACCGTGTTGTTCAGGTCGGTCTCGAACTCCTGACCTCAAATGATCCACCCACCTCGGCTGCCCAAAGTGCCGAGATTACAAGTGTGAGCCACCTTACCCAGTCAAAACTACTGATTTTTCATCAGCCATTTAGTCTGTAATTATGCCATGCCAGTTTCTCTGCTAAGCAATTGTTAACACAACACAATGTTAATCACCATAACATAATTTTGAGTGTTTACAATGTTCTGGACTTTGATAGGTGCTACAGACATAAAATCTCATTTAATCCTCACAGTGATCTCAAGATAAAAGTACAATTATTATCTCCATTTGCATCTGAAAGAGTTGAAAAGAAGAGAGTGTAAGGAAATTACCAAAGGTCGTAGAAGTAGAAATGGGATTTGAATCAGGTTTTCTATTTCAGACTTGGTACTATTAACTTATATACAATAATAATTTTTTCATAGCCTTCTCTTAGGACTAAAACTAATCGTAACAAATAGGCACCTCCCTCCATGTGACTGTCCATCCATATGTCAGGGTACAAAGGAACATGTTCAACCACTGAACAGGTGAAAACTGAACTGGGAATCCACAGTGTATCAGTTAGGGCATTTATATTGCAAAAGAACCAAACAAATCCAGCCTTTAGTCCAAGTATGTATAAGCAATAAAAAATGGAGCTCAATGGCTCAGGTAACTGAGAATTCCAGAAGAGGTGATAATATTTCTCTTTTGCTTTATGCCGAGGTTCCATTGACACCAGGTTCCAGAATCCCCTGCTCCCTCTGCTCCCTCTGCTTCTGCATTGGCTCCAGTCACAGACAGCCTCTACCTGGTGATAGTAAGATGGTTGAAGGAGCTTTAGCTTCTCATCTTTTCAAGTTCGAGCCAAGCTAGAAATACAGAATACTTCTTCCCTGGCTCAGATCAAAAGATTGTGAGTAGCAATCCATTACTTAAGTTATGTAACTTGAGTCATACTGAGACCAACAGTGTGTCCAGGGAAATGGGGTGTTCTGATTGGGTAAGGCTGAGGTCTTCTACTCCACCCCTGGACTCAGGGAATGGGGCTGATATACCACAAAACCTTAAATAAAAGAAGGACCGATCCTCAAACAAAACACAGAGATTGCTACCAAAAGAAATAAATGAATGTTGAATGATTATAAAACCAAGCTTGTCAAATATTCATTGCTCTAGCAACTGTCCTTAGGCA
Source organism: Homo sapiens (assembly GCF_000001405.40). NCBI lineage: Eukaryota > Metazoa > Chordata > Mammalia > Primates > Hominidae > Homo > Homo sapiens. Next base: position 83,895,824 of record NC_000005.10, on the reverse strand, counting down.
AGTCACCACACATTTCTCTTAGACTCATTTTATTCATCTCTACAATGAAGGATTAACCCAGATGATTTCTAATATCTGAATTGAACCTAAAGTTCTATGGAAAGTCCTAAATCATAAACACTATTCTTTGGTACATCATCACTTCTATATTTGACTTTCTCTTCCCTTTAATGCCATCTGCCAGGTGCTTTGGCCTCTCACATTCTTCCCTGCTTACCCCAGATCTTCCTCCTTGGTAAGACTAAAATTCATGATGAAACTCTACACTCCATTTAGACTTCTCTCAGGCCTGACCCCCAATCCCCCACAAATCTGATCTTCTCCTGTGCTCCCTTCTAGGTAATTTGCAGATATAAATATATGTTGACATACGAAGAACACATTAGGTTCAATCGATAGTTTTAATAAAAACTGTTATCATAAGTGCTATTGGGTGAATAAATTACCACCCCTTGCTAATATGCTAATATTGCATTCATTCATGTCTGATATGAACAGTGGCTTAACTCCTAAGACTAACTCTCTTCTGGGATTTACTGTAGGTATGTTTCACGACATTCGAATTCAGCATCCTACACTTTCTATAACCAAAAGAAGCACTTCTACTGTTACCGTTTTTAAGCCCAGCCCCAGAAAATTAGATTACTATAAAGTTCTATGAGTTGATAAGTTCTATATGGGCAGGGATTCTATCTTATTCATCTTCCCATATCCTAAAACCTAGAACATAGTCAGAATTAGTACGGGATGAATGCTGTAGCCTACTGCCCTGGAACTGTCAATCTATAAAGTGATTACATATATATACTAAATGTATATAAGCTTCAAAGTTTCAAAGTTCTCATATTCAGAATCCAGTCATTCATTCATCCAGTAAAAATATGCCAGACAGATTTCTGGCACTAAAGAGTCATTGGTGAAGAAAATAGATAAAAATTTTATTGTCATAAAACTTACATTCTATTGAGTATACAGAGAGTGAAATAATAATTAAATATTATAATGTCAAGGAGTGACACATGCTAGAAGGAACACAAAGTAGAAAAAAGAAATAGAGAAAGATGAGGATGTTGTTGGTTTAGAAAGAATGTGCAAAGGTTGTCTTGAATTAGGAGATTTTGAGCAAATTCTCTGTCCCTGATCCTCACTGTACAAAACAGGAAAGTTTGCTTGTCGTGTTTCATATCAAAAGCTCTACATAAGCAAGAGACACAGTTGAGTTAGAAAATATCTGAATTGCTTCAAATTCCATGCTACTGATTCTTTTGTAATTACTGATAAAAGATGTCAAAACTAGATGTATTATAGTTATAGAATGAATAAAACTCATCCTCAAAGAAATTTAGGATGAAAGAAGCAATAAAAGTGGTGTCAAAAAGGTAATGATCCTCGCAGCAACACACTGATTGCAGCTTTGCTCTGCTGGGGAGGGTAGTCTGCAATGCCACTCAGGCAATGGAACCTGGACAGTGAGGTTTCTCAAGGCCTTGCTGCCGTGGAGCATGCACTATAGATGCAAATATACATTCTTTCCTCATCATTATTCATAATGGCCCCCAACAGACTCTTATAAAGCAAAACATCATTCACTAAGCTCAGTATCCATGAACTTAAAATATGGTTCTTCACTCATGTGTCACTAATTACAACCGAACTAACTAAAATGTATTTATAAACCATTATCCCATAGAGGTTACCTCAGGCCATTTTAGGAGACGCTTTCCCAGAAAGTGATGCTGTTATAAAATTTTTAAAAGGAATTTGAAAACCAAGTAATGGATAATTTTTCCTTCCTAGTTAGAATGTCACAGAAAATCCTAAGAGTTAAAAAAGACGCTCAAAAACCCCAACACTTCAGTATCAAGCGTTTTGTTTTAATTATTCATTTATGAAAACATAAACATACCCACACACCTCAGTTTTAAATATCATGTAAAATGAAGAGTCTGATTTAATAACCTATTTCTATTCCGATTCACTGCAACTCTAAAGTTATACGATTCTGTGTTTTTTTTTTCAGTTTTATTTTTATAGATTTAGGGGGTACAAGTGTAGTATTGTTACATGGATATATCTTGCTGTGGTGAAGTCTGGGTGTTATAGTGTAATCACCACTCAAAAATAGTGTACATTGTACCCTTTAGGTAATTTCTCAGGCCTCACCCTTCCTCCCACCCTCCCATTTCTTCTGTCTCTAATGTCTGTAATTCCACTCTCTATGTGCTTGTGTACGCATTATTTAGCTCCCACTTAGAAGTGAGGACATGCAGTATTTGACTTCCTATTTGACTTTGTTAAACTTAAAAAATAGAAATAATGGGCTGGGTGCGGTGGCTCACACCTGTAATCCCAGCACTTTGGGAGGCTGAGGTGGGCGGATCATGAGGTCAGGAGTTGGAGAGCAGTCTGGCCATCACAGTGAAACCCCGTCTCTACTAAAAATACAAAAAAAAAAAAAAAAAAAAAACAATTAGCCAGTCATGGTGGCAGGTGCCTGTAATCCCAGCTACTCGGGAGGTTGAGGCAGGAGAATCCCTTGAACCCAGGAGGCAGAGGCTGCAGTGAGCTGAGATCACACCATTGCACTCCAGCTGGGCGACAGTGCGAGACTCCATCTCAAAAAAAAAGAAAAAAGAAAAAAGAAATAAAGATAAACCCGAATGTGATGTTGGTGGAAATAAATCCATTTTTCAGGTACTCTCTTTTAAAGTGAGAGATAAATTACTTGACATCATAATGAACATTAAAAATACATAATACCATTGAAAAGATGAAATAGCAAAACTCTTTATTACATTAAATACATTAACTCTATAGATGCACACACACAGACACACACCCACAGGGAAATGTGAAACTAGAGCTTTTACCATATAATTGAAGGCAAATAAAAATATAGTTAAATATCTAGTTTTTGTAAATAAAAGGAATTATTTGACTGAATTACATGACATACTCTATAATATATAATACATATAGTATATTATTTGTATAAATGTAAGTACCACTTTAGAATTCATGCGATTTTATGTGTCTGTACATATAGACACACATTATATATAATACATGTATATATATACAAATATATACAAAACTCTACATATATATACACACATACATATATACATTTTAGCCTATTACATTTCTTAGGCATGAATAAACACCTTCTGGTCTATAGCACATAATGACAGAATAATGCCCTCATAGAAATTAAATAGTCTTTTTGATCTTTGTTCCCAGCCCTCTATTCCAAAAAATATAATTCAAGATATGATAATTTAAAGAGCAGCATAACTAGCAACAACTATTCATTTTACTCTTAAAAAGATGGCCAGGTCTACTTCTAGGTCAGAATTGCTTTCCTTCACTTGAAAATATCAGGTACACCTCGAGTTTACAAGGCTTCATCATAATTCCGTACCTGAGCACAACACTTTCAGCATTTATGAAGAAAAAATGACCCATACCATGAAACAAAAAAGGACTATGCTCACCTTAAAACAAAACTACTACAAATGTCTGAGTAATAGTTAAGTGTATGCAGAAAGCACTTTATATGAACTACCTGCCTCTAGGATTCTCCTCCTGGGAAACATTATTGAGGATTTTAGCAACATCTAGAGACAGAGGCAAATAGTAAAGTTATATGTAGAGTGACATAAAAGTTGTACTATGTATGTTCTGCACTATAACAGTTTTATGGGGGAAAATGAGTATGGAGTAAATAAAAAAGAAGAAGCAGAGGTGAAGGGATGTAAATTGGGGTATGGGGAATAATTCAAGTGAATGAAAGAAAGTTTTATGAACTAGGCACTGGAAGCCTAAATCTTATGGGAATGGAGTAGTAAACAAATGACCCACATGTGCCTAAAACAGATATAGAATTGATTCTGTATTCTGTATTCACATCTGACAACTTAATGACTATAAATCTGTCAAAAGTATTTATAATTCCAGAGGATTTGAGAGTGAAACAAGTATTGGGCTTACAGTTCGAATTCAAGCACAGAAAAACTCATGCTATCAGAAATATTGTAATGCAACAACGTAAGCTGATGGTAGGTCTAGAATTACAATTACCAAGACAAGTAAAACCTCACTAATTCCAGCAATAATTTTAAATTCTCAATAATTAAGGTGACTTTTATTAAATATTAAAACAATAATGATGTTTAATTATAGCTACTAATTACTGAGCTCCTATCAGATCAGAGTCCAGGCAACAGTCTATGTTCTTTAAAAACATTACTCACAGCCAGAGTTAGCAACAACTCAATTCAGTGGTTAAGCTCTTTTTTCTTTTTCCTTTTTCTTTTTCTTTTGAGAGTCAGACTGGGAAAATTCCCTTCCTGGTTCTGCAATTTCATAGCGATGTGGTCTTGAATATTACATCACTTGACTTCAATTTTTCATCTGTAAGTATAACAATCTTGCTATCTACTTCGAAGTTTTGTCATAAGGTTAAAACAAAACAATGTGGTACTTAGCATGTTGCAGGAAGAGTGAGCACAATAAAATGATCACTGACTGGTCACCATTATTATCAGTAATTTTCCCAACAATTTTTCAGGTAGAAATGATTATCCCCATTTCACAATTTATCTAATAAAACATAAAGCTGTAAATTGGAAACAAATCTGTCTGGCAAAAACACACAAACCAAAAAAAAAAAACCCACCCAGATTAAAAATATGTATATATGATACTGCCTAATTAATAAATTGTGTGCTTATGTCACTGTTGTCAACTATATTTGGTCATTAGCTTACAAAGATTTAATTCACATTTATCTTTTGGCTCTACAGAGTAACTAAAGTAATAAAATGCTAAATAAACAATTGAAAATGGAGGAACAGCCCTCTAAGCTAATGTTTATTAATCTTATTGATGGCAGAACTTTTTAATATGAGCAAATCAGCCCTGAAAAGTGAATTTATGTGCAAAAACAATGGCATTGAAAGGCAATTTTTGTTGGAGTAAAATGCATTACATTATTTGGCATTTTTGCAATATACAGGCCATATTTATATCATTTTATTTTTATTTTTGTCAGTTTTCGCATGTCAGTAAAGATACACCTTTAACATTTCTTGTGGAACTAAAAAAGTGTGTTGTCCTAGAAAGCCGTAAAATAATCTTTAAAAATAAAAGCGGTTTACTTCACTGTGGCAAGACATTTTAGGAAGAGTTCCAGATTCTTTCAGACAAACTTAAATTTCAGGCTCCTTATTTTTCCCAGAGGTTTAATCTATTGTACTATATTGAGCTGATTCCAAGTATGAGGTTTTCCAGTAAATATGATTTTCCTCTTTGATCACTTCTGGGAGAACATGATAAAAGAACACAGAACAATATGTGAATCAAATTTTTTAAAAATTTATTTACTCAAGTAGACATTTTCTTCAAGCACAAATTAATGTAAATCAAGCATGGGGAGAACTCTGACCTTTGAAATTATACTTGCATAGTCAGACTTCCCTAACAAAGTGCATGTTTACAGTATCTTTTATTTAAATCAATATCCTTTATGCATGAGCAGAGAAAGGAAAAGAGAAATGCCAACAGCAAATAGAGAGAACCAAATGATTTAGCTCAGCAGAGTGGAATAATGAGCCATTCGCTCCCCAGCGTCCAAGTCACTCTGTGATATTTAGCTAGGCACTTACAGAACTATATTAGCTCTTTCAGGTCATTAAGATGCCATTTTGTGCACTTCCATAGTCAACTTACTCTCTGAAGCGTCCAAGTTGCTACTGGAGAATGACTGCAGCAGTGGGGTGAATAAACTGCCTGATTAATTTATGACTTGATCACAATGTTAGTTAACGGGTAGAGAATTTTCAGGGAGGGAGCATTTATCCGATGTGTGTTGGACTGAAATGAACTGAAGCATTGAATTAACAGTATGAGATGAAAAAAATATTTGTTTGTATCCTTTAAATATAATGTCATATGTAGAAAGAAAGATCCCTAATGGTATCAATTTGTATAACAATTCTTTGGGTACCACTAATAAAGATGCTATTGATTAAAGTCTTGTCAGCTTTAACTACAAATCAAAAAGTTACACACGTGCCACACATAGTTCAAAAAAGAGTCATAATCATCACATTTCACACATTTTCAAATATGAAATTTTATAGTTTGAGTCAATTCAATCATAATTTTATATCCATTTGGGACCTCTAGCTCATATTAATCTATCAAAGATAAGTCCTAAAGTCTTACTAAAAATGTTGCTTGGTATAGGAGACTGTTTCGATGAGAAAATGTCCTGTCAAGGGCATGACCTCGGCTTTTAAGTAGCAGGGGTGTCCACTCTCAGGCCCACATATAAAACCAACTTAAGTTCTGGAACCCATTTCCATGTTCTTTTCCTAAGCAGACGCCCTGTACCATCACCTGACTACCCTCATAGGAATGATGGAGCTGTCAGTGTCAGTTTGCTCCCCAAGTTTTTTCCCTAGTGGAACATTATGGTGAACTGAATGATCTGCTTACAAACTATTACAATTCACCCGTTTTGTTTTATTTTGTTTTGTTTTTCTATCATGAATCTATTTAAGTCACAGATGATTTGGCCCAAGAAAAAAATATTTTAATTTTTATAAAACTTATCTAGACTTTGAAGCTTCTGCTTACAGATTGATATCAATAAAATGAGAATTTGAAAAGAAGTCCTTAGCACTATACATTTTACCCGAATAACTAAGAACATAGAGAGCTTGCTCATAGTTCTTACAGATGAAAACATCTCTATGATGGCAATCTAAGTGCTAGAGACAAATGTTCTTTTCAACTATATGATATTTAATTAAACATATTCTTAACCAAGAAAGTCAATCATAATAGTAAACACTTTCATAGCCTTTACTGTATGTCAGGCATGTTCTAAGACCTCTGGCTAGCTGCATTAATTTAATCAATCTTCTCAATCCTATAGGCTAGCTTCTGTTATTATCTCCATTTTGCAGTTAAGAACAGTAAGGAATAGAGAAGCTGAGTATTCATCCAGTGTTGTCCAATTAGTAAAGAAGAGACCAAGGATTCAAACTCAGGCAGCATGTCTTCAAGTCCAAGCTCCTGGCCACCGTGCTATGATCTTCTCAATGTCCCTGTAATTCTCTTACAGATACATCTCATGGGTTTCAGTAACAACATGCTACAATTCAGTGCTTTCCAAGCTTTTCACATCATGGCACACATAAAAGAAGAATTGCATTTAAACAGTAGACTCAGATGAAAGTATGAGGCTGCTTGTAGTCAGAGATACCATCATAGGGCTTACTTCTGGCCACTCTGGGGATTGAAAAGGTCAATGTCTCATCCATGCCATTTCAGGCACACAAATGTGCCTTAGCACAATGGTTAATAAGCTTCCTGTAATCAGCTACTAGAGCCACAGTTTTCCAAGGCAGAGACAGAATCTGAAATACACCACTTACATTTCTACCAATTTTAGAAATGGGAGCTAGCATTCAAAGCAGAAAGGGCAAAACCATAAAGAGGTTGAGTTCAGGTGCAGATATGATCAACTAGGTCATAGGTTAACTATCAGATAATCTTAAGCAAGCTACACATGTTTGTGAATACCCTAAAAGTGGACACATTTACAAATCCACATTAAATACACATTAACCTAATTTCCATTAATACTTTACTGGGGGTCTGAAGAGCTTTTCTTTGAAATCAAAGACCTTCCACATTGTACAGTCTTTGGTAAGAGCAGTGCTGATGAAAATGACCAATGCAATCCTATATAAATAATTTTCAGCATTGCAGGTGGATCACAGATGGCAGAGAAAGCTCATACATGTACACCTGCTATAAATTCTTAATTTATTCAGTCATGGATACCAAATGAATCACTTGTAGGTGGTGTTATAGAATATGCTGCTGGAACGACATAACTTTAGGGTGAGTTTTCTGTTTCCTCTACTCAGTTTCTCAGGATACTCTTTGCCTTTGAGATCCTGCCAGCGTTAAGAAAGAAGAAAAATACTTGCTATACCAGTACTCTTTTACATTCCGTCTTTCATCACCAATCCAGAAAAACTTGCAGCCATGTTCTATATACTTCTTTTGAAGAGACTATTAACAAACATCCTTGTTCCCGATCCAAATTTAACATAAATGAGTTTTCTCATCTACAAGGAAAAAGCATTGTCAAGTGCCTTATTTCCCCCTAAATGTTATCTGTATCTCTAATAGTCCAATGTTCTAGAAAGCCCACCTTCCAAACGTACTATAGCACTCTTAATGTTTCTTTATTCCTGAGTTAAATAAATGCAGTTATATTAACACATCCATCTTTCTTAGACAACTTACTTTGTCTATGTTATGAAGGTGAATCTAATATTATAGAATTGTTTTATTCACTTCATTTGTTTAACTTATTTGAGCTTCTACAAAATAGCAAACACTGTTTAAGATACTGAAATACAGTTCTCAAGGAGCATGAAAACCAGCGGAGAGGGACATGAAAAAGGCACACATTACAAACAATATAGCAGAAGCTAGTAGGAACAAAATACTGGAAGTGGTGAAGGTAATGGCTTATTGTGGGCACAGGGATCATAGTAACTTCCACTGTGTACTTATAGTTGGTAAGAAAATTTTATAGAATAAGGGACATGCAAACTGGACCCTGATACATAAGTAGAAATTTTCAAGGCAATTAAAAATGGGAAAGACATTCCAAGCAGAAAGATTAATATATACAAAGGAAGAATGCTATGAAAATTGTTTTCAGGAAATGGTGCACCGTTCACTGGAGATAGGGCAAAGGATGTGCATAGGAGGTGGTGAAGTGGATTTGAGAGACATACTCTCAGAACATAAGCCAGAGATGCAGAGGAAGCTAGAATTTGAAATATCTCCTTGCCCCCACCTGCACAAATGATTTGTTTTTGTCCTGTAAGTTACTATTATTATTTAAAAATTTTGCACTTATTAAATAGCCTTCCTTCTCCCTTCTTTATGTACTTACCTCTTTAACACCATAAATATTAATTTTTCAAATAAATTAATTATTAATTTTAGAAAATTATACTATGTCAGTAACAGGATTTTACCTATTAACCCTTGGTTCTTATTTCAGTACTGAACTATCTAAATCCCTCTGATCTTTCCCAGAAGTTGGACATCCTTGCTGTACTTGCAGCCAAAATTACTGGCTTGCTGGTAATGCCTTAAAGGCCAGGGATTCAGGGATTCAGCTGCATTGTATCAGTCACATACATTGCATAGAATCAATTTTACCAAAGTTACATTACATTGGATAAATCTACGAGTAGAAAAACATCAACTCTGAAAAATATAGACTAGAAATAAAGAGTTTTAAAGTCCTAGGTATACCACAATTCCCTAAACAGATTCTGAACCTGCAGCTTCAAAACAATAATTCTTAACCTGTTCTGCTACCTCTACAAGCTACTGTGGGTGTTCTCTCTGGCATCATAAAAGTTATATTTCCTGAATTGGTTAAAGCTGTTTCCTGGGTATCCTCTTTGATGAATACAAGCATGTTTTGACTTAAAAAAATTCTAAGTCAATAATCTGTCATAACAGTACCCTTATTCAGACTCCTACATGAATTTTATTAAAAGAAAGAAAATCTAAATTGCATGAATTCATTAAAACTATTCAGTACACTATAATTATAGGATTACTCAAGTGCTTCCTTTGAACAGCTGCAGTCTTTAAAATTAATACCCACACACGCTGCACGTGCACATACACTTTCACACACACACGTACCTTGTTTGTTAACACCTCTTCCAGAAATGAATCTAATGGGAGAATTAGGGGTATTTAAAACAATAAGAAGAGAATTGGGGGTAAAATAGTGACATGAGCAAAGATGTTTTCCCACTACCCTCTCGAGGTATGGAAGGTCTATGGAAATAAAAATTAAAAATAGGGAAAAACTTCCACCCATCTGGAAATTAGAAAAGATGCCATCAAAAATCAGAAGCTTTGGTGAATTTCTTCAAGATAGAGTCCAGACAGGACTGGACTAAGAGAGACCTAGAGACATGCAAAAATTGAATTTACCTAGGAAATAAGTGTGGGAGAATTTGAACAAATCCCACATGGTTCCATTCACACAGAGTTGGGGGCACAGGGAGAGAAAGGAGGTCGGGGTACACCAGATGGCCACGCCAAGCAGCATCTCAGTTTATGGAGTTTCTATTCTACAGTCAGCAATCAGAGAAAGAAATATCAGCAAATGGGGACTTTCTTGAAGAACAGATTGCTGTCCCAAAGAGAAAACTTAATTGATAAAACTTCTTCATGGAATGAGCAGCTACAAGAAGCTATCATCATAGTTGGCAGTGGCATACCTAACACATTTGATAACCAGAGTAGATAATTTTTAAACCACCTTTCTCTATATGGCAAAAATAATAATCATGTAATAATCAGTAATAATCATTATTTTACTTATTCTTTTTAGTTTTAAAACAGTTAACATTAAATGGAATAAAGTTTTATTTTAAAAAATATTTAAATGCAGGAAAATATTTTGTTCATGAACTAAATTTTGTGCTTACTAGAAAAATATGATTGCATTGCCATTCTCACTCTGTTTCACTCCTTTCTATTTTAAACACAAATAAAAACTCCAGGTGATCACATAGGAAAACTGACAAATAACTATAGATCGATTATTAATTTTTACAATCACTATTGAAATGCGGGATTGAAGACTCAAGCTATACCTTAAGTCACCATTATTACAATTGTTAGCACATGATGATAATAAAAAGCAAACTGATTTTAGTTGGGTTTATTATTGTTTTTAAAGTCTCTTCAGACAATGCACCCCCTTATTACCTGCACTCTGAGCTCTGATAAAGAGAATGAAGAGTAGATTGGATTCTGCCTAAGATTATTTTACTGTAGTAGAATGTAAACTCAGGAAATCAACCCAGAACTCAAACAAGTAAGACTAATAGATGAATATAATGCAGTGAAATATGTTAGATGTGGAAGACTCAGAGAATTCAACCTATACTAGGCATTCCAGGAAAAAGAAAAACAATTTTTAAGAAATCACAAAATTAATTTTAAAAATTTATTTTAAAAAAATGTTTAAGCTGAAGACCTAAATCTTTATCAAAGAGATTTGGCAAATATAAAATGTAAATAATGAAAAGTGACAATATTTAACATATCCTAGTTATGACCCTTACATTTCATAGGGGGCTGGGAGGCATCCAATTACCACATAGAAAAGCAGATCACTTTCAAACGAACACAAAATTCAAGTTTGATTTAGATATCTCCTTCCCAACACTGATGCCAGTAAACAATCAAGCCATAGCTATGGAGTTTTGAGAAGGAAAAAGAAAAGTTAAACCCAAGATTTATTTCTTCATCTTTGATTCTGCTCATGTGAAAAAGCAATAGAAAGGCATTTTAGTCATAAGTGGTCAAAAAAGAAATTCATGTACCCTTTCTGAAAACGATTAGATATTGTTTCAACTCACAAAGGGATAAATAAGAATCACAACAGAGCAAGAATGAAAAGTGATTGTTAATAATACACTAAGAAGTGGCAAGGCAGAGGAGAAGGAAAATAAAGTAAGGCTTAATTTTCATCTAACCTAACTTCTAATTACAGCTTCACTCTTCACATTGAATATTAAGCAAAAACAGTAAGTCCAAATATTTTTAAATGTCAAATGTAACCACTATTAAAAATATACAGCACATGTAGCTTCCAAATCATGGAAGTGAAAAGGGTAGGGTAAAATAACAAGTAACCATAGAAAACAATGGGATGGTAAGAAGCCCAAATATATCAGATATGGTGATTAATATAAGCAGATTATGCTTCCTATTAAAACGTAAAGAATGCCAGGCTAAGTTAGACAAACAAACAAAAAAAATCCCAAATATATGTAATTCAAATGTAGGTGAGATTACAAAATAACACTCTCCTATAAAATTAAAACAAACAAACACTCTTTGTATTATCCCATATTTTACAAGCTCAATGCTCTGGCATGGTATATACCTATAGTTACTGCTGGGCTCACAGTCTTTTCATTTCTGAACTCAGAATTTCACTTTCATCTGACCTCCAGCCTCTCCATCTTCTGCTCTTGTTCTTTTCCTGAATTTCCCCATTCCCATCCTCACAGACAAGCAGTGGTAGGGGTTGCAGTCATCACCGAAGCTTGGGTACCGTGGAAGGTGCTGTGTCACCCTGTTGTATGTCCTTCTTTCATCAAAACTCCCTGCCAATCTCCAGCCCTCTCAGAATTCCAAGAACTCCTTACCCATTGTGCTTGTAGAAAACTCAACAACCCTCCTTTCTTAGAAGAGTAGTTTATCTAGCTTTTGAGCCACAAATAGGCTTCCATCCTATCTTTGCTCTTCCAAAGTCAATAATATCACTATTCAAACAACCCTTGTACTCTTGGTCTCATCTTTTAGAGGCCCAGAAGAATAGGCTTTGGAATTTCAAAATTCATTTTCCCTCTTCTATAAAATTATGTAAATGCAAGTGAGCTAGATATTTTCTTTTTTCAGGAATATAAATTATGCTACCACCTGTTACCATATCTTCCCCTAGTTCCTCAAGACAGATGCTGTTTAAGTCAATTTGGATCTTAAATTATACTATTTTCCTCGATTATAAAAATGCTGTTTGTATAAGACGTATCTAAAATAAAATTAGGTAAAAGATTTGAAGTAAAATAATGAGCAAAAAACTGATCAGAAAAAATGTAAATAAAAGAAAACAGTGATAGTAAGTATCAGCCTAAGAAGAAACAAATCCAGGGAAAAACATCACATCAGAAATTCATTATTCTATATTGTTAATAGGTAGAGTTTTCAATAAATATACAAGACTCATTGACCTTTATGTGCCCCATAATAAAATATCAACATAAATGTAGTTAAACAGTCAGAAATACAAGAAATTTTCAAAATCCATTTATGGGGAAGACCAATATATCTCTAGTGCATCTCTCTAGCTTTTTAAAAAATAGAAAAACTATTTGCTAATTCTATAAAAACTGTATTTTTAAAGCATTTATAAAGTACTTATGGGAAAAACCTCATTAAATTAAAATAGAAATCATTTAATGTTGAAATTATAACACAATAAATTTAGAAACTGGTGTAATTCTAATAAAAATCTTAGGAATTCTTTTTTGGATTTTTTGGTATGATTTTCCAGTATGTCTAGAAGAATAAATGATTGACAAAAATACAAGAAAATATTTTATACATATATTATTGAGGGAAATATACTGTGCTTGATATAGAAATATAGAAGAACAATTCTTAAAATATAATGGTGCTGTCATAAATATAGAATATGTGGAATATAAATCAAAGCTCCAAAACCCAACTATGCATATATATATATGAAAATGTTATTTCACATCAGAGAGGAGAGGATGGACTGATATTCAATAAAGTGTCTTAACGGACTCACTATTTCACACTCAAAGATATATTCCCAATTAAGTGTAACATTGAATTTAAAGAAGAAAATGCTAGAAGAAGACGTGAAGGAATGTAATTACACTGTTGATTTTTGGAAACTATTAAAGATAGGATAGAATAACATTAAATTCAAAGATTTATTTTTAACTCAAAGTTTCAGAAGCAAAATCAGTAGAATCTGTAGGCAAATGATAAGCTTCCTAAAAGTATCTCAAGGATATAACAAACAGAAGGTAACAGTACATTTAACATACAAAGATTTGTATGACTACACACATGCACTCCAGTTAAAAAGAGAGAAAAGATTGTTAAAAGACGTAAAGAGGCTGACTATAAGAACAGAAATAAAAATGGTACATACAAAAAAGTGCTCAGCCCCACTTCTAGTCAAAGCAATGTAAATTAAAACAATAATCAGATACAATAATTGCTTTGTCAAATTGCCCAAGTCTTTTGTTTGTATGTTTTTGTGTTGTTTTGTTTTAAGATAAATTCTAATGTTGGCACTGCTGTTGAGAAATGTCTGCTCTCTCACATTGCTGGATGGATTGCCTGTAGTAATAATTTTCTACAGTGAAATTTTCTATGTATTAAAAGCCTTATATTTTTTCCATACAGTTTGACTTAATAGTTCCATTCGTAAGTACAAATAATCAAGTGTAAAAGAGAAAAACAAGAAACAGCCTAAATAACTAAAAATAGGGAATTGTTTAAATAAATGATTAGCAAATGTAAAATTTGCTTATATTGTAAATATTGTATATCTTGCTTAAACATAAAATTTGCTTAATACGATAACATGATAAGCAAATGTAAAATTTGTAATATAAAAGCATATTGATTAGTGACAAATGAAAATGTTCAGGATTCATTTCATACTGAAAAAATATTTACAAAATGATCTGATTTGTCAAAACAAAAATAAAGTAGCATACCAAGGGCAAGACTTTGGAAGTGTGTCTCCTTGGAGGATAGTAATATTTTATTACTGATACTTAGAATTGTAGGCTTATGGTGTTTAATAAAAGCAAATTCACTAATGGTTTTATTATTGCTCTTAAATTCTCCACAGACAGTGGATCCCTGAGAGTCTGAACTGTTGGGAGGCCTCTTCTACCATCCCACCACTAAGGTGTGGCTCTGAAAATATATTTCTGTGACTACTGGGCAGGAAAGAAGATTTTAAAATGTTAACAGTATTTATTTCTATAGAATTATAGGAGTTATCTTTTTTCACTTTTCTGTATTTTCAGTATTTTTTTCAATGAATGTGCATTTATTTTTAAACACAAGAAATGTCTATTTTAATTTTAAGAGAGTCAAAAGCTATTATGACTAAAGTTTTGATCATAGAGACACACACACACACAAAGAGAAGTCATAAAGATATTCTTTCCTCTTCAAATCCAGAGTTTCATGCAAAATACACTTTCTGACTGAGTGGCAACCTTCTCTCTCCTTGAGTTTCTGTGAGTTAGTCCTGCTCATCTCTGCCCCATTCTGATCGTACATCCCAGCCCTACTCTAGCCCCACCCCAAAATTTTTGTCCTTCCTGCCAAAACTACCTAACATGCTTATTTCCTTTTTTAAATTAACATATTTTTTCTTAATTTTTTTTATTTCAGTAGCTTTTAGGGTACACGTGGCTTTTGGTTGCATGGATTTACCACCAGCAATGCCATCCTAAAAATCTCAAAAAGCCTAATTTGCAAAGTGATATGGCTGACAGTAAAGGAGAGAGAGGTCTAAAGAAGAGGTGGAATGGAATGGTATTAAATTGCCAATGACAGCCATTCAGCCTCTTTGTCCTACTATTGATTGGGCCTTTTACCTCTATTGACAAGAAGAGCATTCGGACTGATTCCCACTTGCTGTATGGCTCACACTGTCTTTTTTCTTTTTCTTTTTTTTCTTTTCTTTTTTTTTTTTTCTGAGGCTCTATTAAACCTGGGTTCAATATACAATAATTTCTTAAGTCACAAAGATTACATTCTTGAAGAAAAATTATGGTTTTCAAGAAGGTAAAATTTGTAGAAACTTCCAAAACAAACAAGATGTATAAAAACTAAAACTATTCCATGACGTCAAAATCTGTTGAGGAAAACCTGGCTGCTGCATTCAAATCTGCAAAGGCAGAATCTCTCCCTTGTTTTCTGTTATGCATACAGTCCCTCTTTTACAAATGTTTTTAACATCTCTATTACTGTAGTAGTCCGTTCTTGCATTGCCATACAGAAATACCAGAGGCTGGGTAATTTATAAAGAAAAGGGGTTTAATTGGCTCAGGGTTCCACAGGCTGCACAGGAAGCACAGCAGTTTGCATCTGCTCACCTTCTGGGGAGGCCTCAGAAAACCTATAGTCATGGTGGAAGGTATAGTGGGAGCGAGCACCTCATATGGCTGGAACAGGAGGAAGAGAGAGAGAGATCTGGTTAAACAACCAGATCTCACAATCACTCACTCACTCACTATCACCAGAACAGCACGTAGGGAATGATGCTAATCCATTCATGAGAACTCCAGCCCCATGATCCAATCACCTCTCACCAGGCCCCAACTCCAACACTGGGGATTACAATTCAACATGAGATTTCATGGGGATACAGATCCAAACCCTATCAGTTACCATCTTCTAATTTAGTCTTTTGGGTGTACCTTCTCTCCAGATGCATCTTTGAAAGTCTCAGCAAAATATACTATGCCTATGTGGAGGCTACACAGCTTGACCAAGGGATGGACACCCAATCCCACCTCCCGACACTTGTCCACATAACCTGGAGGATATAAGAACAAATTTTGTCGTTTTTAGGGAGCTGAAGAGAAATACATACATGCAAAAAGGCAAAGCTTTTAATAAAACAGTCTTGTCTCTTTTCAATCTGCAACCAAACCCACCTTCCTATAATGTGCCTACCGGAAGTAAAATTCAAAGTATAGCTAATACATTATAGATTCTTTCCATCACTTCATGGTAGATGTGGATTCGTCTTTTAAAATATACATTGCGAATAATTAAGAATGGACTATTCTAATAGAGGTAAAGCAAGCAAAATGTTCTGTGAGAAAAATTATCTTTTATTTCAGAATGTGTTTGGTTCTTACATTTGAATATGAATTATCTGGAAATTCACTTCAAACTGAAGCGCTGTGGTGAGAACCAAAACACTAGGGAACTAGTTTGGGATCTACCACAGAGTAATCTGCGAGTTATTGACCCTTTGCAGCCTCCATCTCCTCTAAGGGAAAGCAAAGGGTGAGAGCAGAGACTGAATCTAGGGCCCCTTACAGCAGAACAAATCAAAGCTTCTCTCAGTGTGTCTTTAAATAATAAAATCTTGCTGTGAAGAATTGCTGTCTAGATCCCACTGCACAGCTTCGCCTTATAACTCATTCCAAACTGGAAATAGCTTTTCTCTCAGGCTCATGAGGAACTTAGCTTAAAGCAGACATGAACGGTCTCATTGACATTCGTTAAATGTAGAGTCTTCAACATGGTTTCTTTATAAGTAAAAGCTACACATGATGTAAAGAAAAAAATACAGAGATAAACCAAATTAAATAAGTGAGGCTGTTCTGAAAGACGTGGGATTCCATTTCATTCCCAGCCCTATCTCCTCAGCCATTAAGTTTCTAAGCTGCTTAAAATCCGGTTGCCACTTCCTTTCCGGAAAATCTAGCAAGAGATAGCTGAGCGTGTCAAGATCGGAAGCTCTAGCTATCTATCGACAGGATTTGGGAAGCTGGATCTTGCAAGTCTGACTAGATTCCCAACAAGAGCAGCCCTGGGCCAACTCTAAGAATTGCAGGCACATATCCAGGCAATTAGTGATTGCACTTACGGACCAAAACATCCGCACAACTTGATTGGATCCTTTCTCTGTGTGTGTGATCCCTCTTGGTTGATTAATGAGAGAATATGCTCTCATTTATCCTCTCTGAGGATGCAGCTGTGGAGACAGAGTACATAGGCATATCCTGTCTTAGCAAAGTGCTTTTCTTTCTCTTCAGCTGCTTCTCCATCCCAATCCTAAAATGGTATCTCCGCTGAGGAGCCTGATGCCTAACTTCTAACAAAGTACAAGGTTGAAGGACTCCATTTTAACTCTTATTTTGCTTAATGTCACCCCAAAGTTGGAAACATTTCAAAAGTACACTTCTCAATAGGGCAACTTTGTTTCTAAATAACATGCTCATTTAACAAGATACAGTTTACTTTGGCTGCTATTTCAAAATCCCCTGCCCAGGCCTCATGCCTGTGGTCACTTGTCTTTGGATGTCTTACAAATGGCCTCCTGCTTGAGGTATTTGTGAGAGTATCTCTTGAGTCACTATGTATTAAAGTTTAGCTAAATATACTGAATTATATATTTCAAATTAAAATGAGTGTTTTCAAATGCATACATACAACAAGGTGATATGTTTACAAAACAAGGTCAAATTTAGTTACAGGTGTGATGGAAACTGTACATACCCTTATTGGAAAGGTCTATAATGTTAAATGGGCAAATTCATGCTTGAATATGAAAGGCCTCCATTTGTAGCTTGTATCAATGTCCACTTTTTAAAACATGCAAAATAGCAACTTAGGATACGAAGAGACAGTCTGTGGGTATTGCCTACAATTCATTGGAT
This sequence comes from Homo sapiens, assembly GCF_000001405.40. Classification (NCBI taxonomy): domain Eukaryota; kingdom Metazoa; phylum Chordata; class Mammalia; order Primates; family Hominidae; genus Homo; species Homo sapiens. Next base: position 83,877,720 of record NC_000005.10, on the reverse strand, counting down.
AGATCCTATTGCCACTCACCAATTGCTCATTTCAAGTGTTCCAAAGTTTATTGAATTTCTGTAGTTGGAGGATTTTTTAATTTTCAAGAAATTAGACCATTGCAACACACCTTGAGATTGCAACCATTCACCTTGAAAAGTACTCATCCAGAATTCAGAATCCTGAATTTAAAAAAGAAAAATGTAGCTTTAGAACTGAGATCTTGCTGTTCTTAATAATGTTCTTATATGCCAAAGCAGCTTATAAAATAACTATTAGAAAGATAATTTTCATTCACATCCTGAGTATTGTACATGCTCTCACATCACATTCTAAATCTGACTTGTTAGTCAATGTGTGATTCTCAAATTCTATGAGAGCAAGAGAAATGAGATTAGTAAAGCAAAACATCCCTCAACATTTTTATAAAGAAATACACCAAGTGAATCATTCTTATTACTAATGTTTTGTACTGATCCACAAGGCTAGAAATGGTGGCCGTGTAACTCATAAGATGGGTTCAAGAAGAAACCTCTGTAAGATTTTTCAAAGTAGCTATAAAATGGAAAGTAAATTTAATATGGTTTCTCAAATGTAACGTTGAAAGTGTAAAGAATGCCATTTAGTCAAAATCACTGTCATCTTTTGCAGTCTCCTACCTGTCCCTGCTTCTCTTTCAATGCTTCCAAGGATCTAGCCTTCACCAATTTCAATCTGAAACCTAAAACCAAAAGCTCTAGAAATAAACTATTTGTTGCACAGTGAAATTTGAGAACCATTTATTTATAGGAAATATCTGAAGTTCTTCCAGTGAATAATAAAGTGTTTCCTTGATCTTAAATGTGCTTACTGCGTGCAACAGTAGTGACTCCAAATATAAATGCTACAGAGCTGGATTTGAGTACAGTAGCATATACATTATCTTATCTCCAAAATATGGTTCCCTTGAGAGATTTGGTCAAACTTTTCTTTGTGTTGTTTGTTTGTTTGTTTTTGAGACAGAGTCTCACTCTGTCACCCGGGCTGGAGTGCAGTGGTGGGATCTTGGATCACTGCAACCTCTGCCTCTGGGATTCAAGCGACTCTCCTGCCTCAGCATCCCAAGTAGCTGGGATTACAGGTGCATGACACCATGCCCAGATATTTTTTTTTTTTTTTTGAGAGGGAGTCTCACTCTGTTGCCCAGGCTGGAGTGCGGTGGCATGATCTCCGCTCACTGCAAGCTCCAGCCCCCGGGTTCATGCCATTCTCCTGCCTCAGCCTCCTGAGTAGCTGGGACTATAGGCACCCGCCACCATGCCCGGCTAATTTTTTTTTGTATTTTTAGTAGAGACGGGGTTTCACCGTGTTCGCCAGGATGGTCTCAATCTCCTGACCTCGTGATCTGCCCACCTCGGCCTCCCAAAGTGCTGGGATTACAGGCATAAGCCACCACACCTGGCCGTCAAATTTAATGTCACTACTTATGACAATGAATTGCAGAACAAACTCATTGGCTAGAAAATGACAACCACTCTGACAATAAAATGGCTAATACTCATTGAAGCACATACTATAAATCAGGCATAGTTATGTTTTACATTTATGAAATCATTTAATCTTCATAATCACCTTAACATTTTTCATTTTACAAATAAAGAAATTGAGACCCAGAGAGGGCAATTTGTAAATAGTTTCAAGGCTACTAAAAGGGATGGTCATTTTCTCTCGAATATATTTTCTTGTCACTAAGTGATGATAAAATTATTAAGAGAAAATAAAATATACATGTAAGGTTTACAAAGATTCTCTCTCTCTCTCTCTCATCTTTTCTTACATGCTAAATTGGTTCTGAGTACACAGACATGGCCTCAGCCCTGGTGAGAAAGTCACTTTTTATACATGACACGGTTCCTTTTCAGGCTGAGCAGACAGGCCTGAGCTAAAGAGCCTGCTCCTCAGAAAATCATGAGCCATTTTCACCACCACAGTGTCAGTACAGAGGAGAAAGTGCCTCTCCACACCACCCTTGACTTCCACAGCTGTCTTGTGGATGGTCTCTTGGATGCCTCTTCTGCCTTCAAAGCCCTATTTTACCAGGCTTTCCCATTCACAGTGAATGTCTTCCACTTTGCTAATGTCTCCAGAAACACAATATATATCACCTGTTATCTGAAGGTCAATCTGGTTGACCAAGTCCCAGATCAACTAAACAAAGCCTGTTCCTTCAGCAAGTTTTCCAATAGCTGGTCCCCAGTAGAAGACACTGCTGACATCTGTGAATATCACCTTAATAGGGTGACTGTGGCATTCTAGGTCATTCCAGAAGGCACCCCACTGTGGCACAAATCTGCTTCTAGCAACTGCAGGCGCAAGACCAAAAGAAGCATACCTCACTATGGGGCCACTGATTTTCCTGGAAAAGGCTGGTGACCACAATACGGAAAGGTGGACCTCTTCTGCCCATACCCTTGTGGTGTTGGGCTGAGGCCTGGCCATGGAGGTGTTCCCGATTCTGGCTGCAGTTGTTGTGGGTCTTGCCTGAAGGCATCAACTGGCTTCCCACCCCTTGATATGCCCTGTGTCCGTTTCCCAATAAAAGCAAACAGTGAAAAAACAAACAAACAAACAAAAAACAACTCACAATGACCTGCAAGTGAGCACAGAACACTCACATATGCAAATACCCCATACTAAACTGAACTGAACTCTTTTCTATTCTTCTTGCCTTTTCCTTTGATAATAAAGTCATTTAAATTTTGCAATTTCCCACCCACAGACTTATACCTTATGTTTAGTGGCTTATTTTACATTTGGTGTTACACTATTGAATCAGTAAAAGAGATTTGTTTTTTTTTTCCTTTTCAGTGATCAAGCAAAAAAATCATATTGCAACAAAACATAATAAAAATTAATCTGGCCACTTCACAAATTGTTGGCTCTGTGGCCATTTAAAAAATTAATTATTAGAAATCTGTAACATGTACTTCTCTGAGTAACTGATATCTGAGCATCACTAATACTCTGCTTATTCACTTCCCCTGCTATCAAAGAAATGTTATATTTATGTACATATGTAGTTGTCTTTTCTGGCAGTGTATTTGTATATATGCATACACATCACCTGTAACCTGAACAAAAGGTTTTTACTAATATATTTAGGATAAACACTGATATTTTCAAGACTGAAAGACACATTCCAAAAGAATAAAATTAGGAGGGTGAATTTTTTTTCAGATAACATCACATAATTTATATTTTAAAATATTGAACAAATGAGAAAGAATGACCCTGCAACCTGGCTGTAGACTTAATTATTAAATCGTAATAGCCATGGAATGATGGGAAAGCCAATTACTATAAATGCTGGCTGCATTCCGACCTTGCACTAGAATTATTCCTTCTAAGCCCTTGTAAATATGACACTGCCTTTTAGAGTAAAAACTAGTCATGGATGATCTAAACCTCTTAATGAAAAATTTTTATGATTCAAAAGCCCAAATAAAAATTTCACAAGTGCAAAGATAAGTTCTACCTTCTTTCAAGCTTCCAGACACAGGAGAAAACACACACATACACACACCCCTCTCACTGCAAAATAAATAACATTTTATACACTTTCCAGCTGTGAGGTGAGTGCTGTGGGAGGAAAGCACTAAATAATAAACACTTTCATAAGGGGTTTCTAAAAATGACCCCAATACAAGCACTGAAAATCCACAGCTCAATGGAATACAAAAACTTGTTCACACAAGAAATCATCCTTCCTAGTCTCTTTTAAAGATACAAACTGATGAGATAATCTGTAAATTCAAATACCTACCACAAGGAATTTTTTAAACCTAAATTAGTGTTTACTCAGTATTTCCTCTAAACCAAACTATGCACAGACTCCAAGGGGTAGGGGAGGCAATTTATTTTCTCTTTCTTCCTTTATTTTTGAGCCAGAGTCTCTCTCTGTCACCCAGGCTGGAGTGCAATGGCGTCATCTCGGCTCACTGCAACCTCCAGCTTCCGGGGTTCAAGAAACTCTCCTGCCTCAGCCTCCCAGGTAGCTGGGATTACAGGCTTGCACCACCATGCCCACCTAATTTTTGTATTTTTAGTAGAGACAGGGTTTCACCATGTTGGCCAGGCTGGTCTCTAACTCCTGACCTCAGGTGATCCACCCACCTCAGCCTCCCAAAATGCTGGGATTACGTAAAGTCATGAGCCACCGCACCCAGCCCTCTTTTTTCTTTCAATAGTAACTATTGAGCACCTACTAGACCCCAGGCACTCATCGAGGTGCTCAGGAGTTTGGTGGTAAAAGAAAGAGACACTATATATGTTCTACTTCTACCTAATAGACTGTATATTCAAGTAGAGCGAGTAGATAGTAAACTAGATACACAGCAACGATAAGTGCCATAAAGAAATATAAAGTAAGAAAATGAACTAAGGAGTGTGGGGAGAAGAATACAGCAATTAGGCCGGGCATGGGGGCTTACGCCTGTAATCCCAGCACTCTGGGAGGCCAAGATGGGTGGATCACCTGCGGTCAAGTGTTTGAGACCAGCCTGGCCAACATGGTGAAACCCCATCTCTACTAAAAATACAAAAAAATTAGCCACGCATGGTAGTGGGCTTCTGTAATCCCAGCTACTCAGGAAGCTGAGGCAAGAGAGTCCCTTGAACCCGGGAGGTGGAGGTTGCAGTAAGCCGAGATTGCGCCATTGCACTCCAGCCTGGGCAACAGAGTGAGACTCTGTCTCAATAAATAAATAAATAAAATGAGAATACATCAATTGTGGGTGACTGGGGAAAGGTGACAGGGAAGACAGCAAATGAGATAGAGGAGTAAACCCAAAGAACGTCTTAGGAAAGATCATTCCAGGGAAAGGGAACAGCAAGAGCAAAGCCTCAAAGGCAGGAGGCTGTTCACTTATAAGAACAACATGAAAGCCATGTGGCTGAAGTGGAGTGAGAGCCAGAGAGTAGTAGGTGACAAGAGCAGAGAGGTAAAAAGGGACAGATTAACTAGAGCCTCACTGTAGGTCATTGTGGCCTTTCATTTTCACTCCAAGTGAGAAGGGAGCCATTGTAGGAGTTTGGGCAGAGGGAAAGGTGCTCTAACTTACGTTTTAAATATTCGTTCTCAGATTCATGAAGAAGACAGATAGACAACTAATTACACTACTAAGAGATGAATTGCAGTCACTAGGATATTATTAGACATAAACCCTGAGTGCTTACTATACACTAGGCCTCCTGGTGTTATTTCACAAAGGGGCACAGTCAACCTATTCCATACCTTAGTTGAGGAAATTGAGACTTGGTGACTTTAAGCAAGTAGTCCACTATCACACAAGAGGTAGCAGAGCTGGACTTCAAATGCAAGAGCTCTGAATTCCTACTCCTGGAAAGGAAACTTCATGCTTTTTGCTTTCTCCAAGTTCCAGGAAACACAACAGAGGGACCAATTTGCTCTCACTGGAAAGTTGAAGAGGGCTCCACAGATAAGGTAACACTTGAACTGGGGCTTAAAGAAGGAGTCACTTTCCTGGAAGAGAAAGGGGGCAAAGGAATGAATGGTATGTTCAGGAAGGTGTTTTGTGTGGCTGCAGCTTAGTAGCCCACAGGAGAGGCCTGGGGTGAGACTAGCTGGGTGGTTTGGAAAGATTTTTCCCTTTTCTAAAGTAATTTTTTCTTATAACCAAGCAGAAGTAAAAAGAACACCAATGATGTGTTTACTTGTAGACAATAACTGAGTGTATAATTATATATTTACAGCTGACTTCACCCATAAACAACAGACTTTCTGAGAGCCAGAACCTGCTGTCTTGCTTCTGTTGCTTCCGTGTTTCTAACACTGTGCCTGCAGTAAGTGCCCAGGAACTATTTGTTGAAGCCTATCATCAGTAAGAGTGGTTATATGAGTTTTCAATAGCAATAGATACTCCTTTTTTGCCAGTTCAAGTCCAGAAGTAGGTGTGAATGGCAACCACACAGAGCCAGCAACCACGTCGTCTGCCCTCTGAGAAAACCACAGAATGCACACAGCTAGTGTGTCCTATGCTGGTGGCTAGTTACTCTCTCTCAGCCTAGATGTGGGTGACTAGCAACGCACCTGGCTACCACTCTTAGAGCAGAGTCCCCACAAATTCCACGAACTTGTCATCTGAGAGGGAAGAATCAATCGAAGTAGGAAATGAACACACTCCATTGGGTTATCAGTCCTTGGCAGGGTAAAGTATATGAGACACCCCCTCATTGCCATGTCTTGCTTATCTGGAGTCACACAGGAGACAACATAGACATCAAACAAGGTCCTTTTCCCATAGAAGTAGCATCTAAAAGAAAATAACACCCTTTTGGAAAAGGAAGCTGTGTCTGATTAATCTAAAGTGATATGAGGGTCTCAAGTGAGCATGTGAATAAAATAGAACCACTGAAATTCCATCAGTTTCAAAAAGAAAGGATCTAGACTTTAAAAAAGAAGTTGTCAACTTTTCTACAAAAATTTTATAAATGACTCTCCATGATATGGGAGACTAAATTTTTACAATATAAAATAATGTAGAAATAGGAATCAAAAGATAGAACAAAAGCAAGGGTTTTCTATAGGAAAAGGTGTAAATAGTGCTGCTTCATGGCAAACCACCCCAAAAAAAGTCTTACTTGGAATATGTATAAGTGATCTAGATAGATTCCAACAAATAAGTATTTATATAAATTGACTTTTCAGGTTCCTGCGTCGTCTCCAATTTATATTCAAATACAATAGTCCCTCCTTATCCACAGATGTTCCAGGACCCCCAATGAGTGCCTGAAACTACAAATAGCATAAAATCCTACATATGCTATGATAAATTTAAAATTGATTAATTGATAAATTGATTAATTTTAAAATGGATACATTAAGGCTGAACAATAATAATAAAATAGAACTGTTATAACACTATACTATAATAAAAGTTAGATGAATGTGTTCTCTCTCTCTCTCAAAACATCTTATTGTACTGTACTCACTTATTTTCAGACTGACCACAGGTAACTGAAATTGTAGAAAGCAAAACCATGAATAAGTAGGGACTACTCTATGTATTTCTATTAAAAATGAATTGACCTAGTAGTTAAGAATGACTAGGGTTTTGTAATTGAAATACCAGGGTCCTATTCTCATCTCCACAAATTAAAAGCTAGCGGATCCTGGAACATTACGTAATCTTTCAGGCCCATCAATTTTCTCATTGTAAAATGGGTCTAATAATACATCTCTTATGGCTCTCTAGTTTAGGTTATATAAAATAATATGTCCAAGATTCTTAGTATATATTTGACACATTAGATGCTCTACATAGATGGCAGCTATTATTATTATCATTATGGTTTTCACATCAAATTCTTAAAGGAGTCCATTATCCCCAAGCCAAAAACAAAGGTGGAAACCATTTATCTAAAACAGTAGTTCTCAAAGTGTGATCTTTGGAGCCCCCAGACCCCAAGACCATTTCAGTGAATCTAAGAGGTAAAAACTATTTCTATAACGGAACTATAACATTATTTGTGTTTTTTATTCATTGCGTTGACATTTGCACTCATACTGCAAAAGCAGTTGTAGATAAAAGTTCTGTCTTAGCACAATCAGGGCAATGGCATCAAACCACACTAGTCTTTGTGGTATTCTTCTTCATGTACTCGCAACTTCAAAAACAAGATGGAGGTGGGGGGGCATAGTAGCCCATTTTACTTAAAGTCTTTGATGAATAAAATGAATTATATTTTAAGACTCTACCCTGAGTTCACATCTTTTAGATCATTTATTCTTATTACTTGAAACATAATAATTGTATATATTTATGGGGTACACAGTGATCTTTCAATATACACAATGTATAGTGATCAGATCAGGGTAATTAGCATATGTCTCATTTTAAACATTTATCATTTCTTTGTTTTGGGAATATGCAATATTCTTTCTTCTAGCTGTTTGAAAATATATAATATATTATTTTTAACTATAGTTATCCTACAGTGCTATCGAACTCTAGAGCTTAATAATCCTATCTAGCTATAATTTTTTCTTTTAGCAATTCTCTCCCTATATCCCCCATTTCCCTTCCTAGTGTTTAGTATCTTCTTTTCTACATTTTACTTATATGAGATCAATTTGAATTCACATCTTTCGAGTAGTTTGTGTAACTGAGTAGGAAGCATGGGTAAGACACCCCTGCTGCATGTAGGAGTATGACAGTGGTCTCCAGGAAAGGCACTTATGCGACTTTTCTGGTGGAAACCAATTTTTATTTGAAGGAATGACTAAAAACAAATTACAATAATACAGACTTGTGTATTTGGCATGTGTTTTGTCAAAATGAATGATGTGAACCTGTCAGCTCAGAAAAACAACTCATGATATTTGTTGCAAGTAATAAAATATGACTTCCACATGGAAATTAGAATGATAAATTGTATCTGCCATTGTGAACCTGAGAGCATCCTAAAACTTAAGACATTTCTGATGGAATTGGTAGGGAAATTAATAAATGTGACTTTTTTTTTTTTGACAGAGTCTCACTCTGTCGCCCAAGCTGGAGTGCCATGGTGTAATCTCAGCTCACTGCAACCTCCGCCTCCCAGGTTCAAGCAATTCTCATGTCTCAACCTCCAGAGTAGCTTGGATTACAGGTGTGCATCACCACACCCAGCTAATTTTTGTATTTTTGGAAGAGATGGGGTTTTGCCACGTTGGCCAGGCTGGTCAAAAATTCTTGGCCTCAAGTGATCCACCTGACTTGGCCTCCCAAAGTGTTGGGATTACGGGCGTGAGCCACCATGCTTGGCCATAAATATGATTTTTGTATATAAAGTGAAATATGTCAGCCTTTTAAAAAACTGTACCTCAGTGAAACTATATTTTCAAGTGACCAACCTGTGATGTTATAAAATCAATCATAAATGTGTAACAGATTTGTTCAAAGTGTAAGATAGACCTTTGAATTTTAATATAACAATAAAAAAGCTCATTTACATAATTTCAGATTTTACACTACAACTGACCTTTAAGAAACTACCACATATCAAGTTTTTGTATAATATCAAAGAATAATATCCATAATTTTTAAAAGGCTACTAAAATATTTCTTCGTTTTGCAACTGTTTGAAGTCATATTTCTTCTATAAACTTCAGCCAAAGCAACATATGATAACAGAATACAAAAGCAGTATGAGTATCCAGCTATATTTTAACTGTCAGATATTAAAGAGATTTGCACAGATTTAAAATAATTCCATTCATCTCATTAGTTTTTGTTTCATAAAATAAAGTTATTTTATAAAACATTATTTTAATGATATGTAATGGTAATATTTTTATTTTAACAAATAAAAAATTTGAAATTCCCTGGTTTTCTTTTCCTTCCTTTCTCTCTTTCTTTCTTTCTTTGTTTCTTTGTTTCTTTCTTTCTTTCCTTTTCTTTCTTTCTCTCTCTCTCTCTTTCTCTCTCTCTCTTTCTTTCTTTTTTTTTTTTTTGAGACAGTGTTTCGCTCTTGTTGCCCAGGCTAGAGTGCAATGGCATGAACTTGGCTCACTGCAACCTCTGCCTCCTGGGTTCAAGTGATTCTCCTGTCTTAGCCTCCTGAGTAGCTGGGATTACAGGCGCCCACGACTATGTCTGGCTAATTTTTGGTATGTTTAGTAGAGACGGGGTTTCACCATGTTGGCCAGGCTGGTCTCGAACTCCTGACCTCAGGTGATCTGCCCACCTCGGCCTCCCAAAGTGCTGGGATTACAGGCGTGAGCCACCATGCCCAGCCTTCTTTTCTAATATAATAAAGGCATTACATATCACCCACATAAACAAAAACTCATTAGGGTCCTCAACAACTTTTGAGATTTCCAAGAAATTTTTAAGAACAGAAACTTTGAGAACTGCTGATCTAAAATGTGGATATTTCAGCATATATTTCCAGTTTGCCAATGCCATGAGGCTCTTCCAATAAAATGTTACCCTTGGATATAAAAAGTATAAGGAAATGTCCAAAGTTGTGCTAGGAAATCAAATTGCAAATAAGCTTTTTCATGAACAAGTGTAAAAACAAACTCCTAACTCCTTTTGTAAGTAGAAATGCTATGCCTATAAGGTTTATCCACAGAAAGGAATCACAGCAGAGTATTTTTTAAGACATCAATTAAGTCATTATAATCATATAACAAAAAATTTATATAATATATTGCCTTATCATAAGAATATTAGACACATTTTCTCAATTAACTTTCATTAGAGTCTCTGAATAATATTATTAGTTCTATTTTAATTATTATTAATATTTGTTTATAATAAGATGGAAAACAAAGAGTGGACAAGTCAGTCACAAAGCTAGTAACAGCTGCAGTCAGGATGTAACCCAGACTTAGCAGCTTTCAAATTCCACACTCCAGGTTTGTTAATGAAGACATAGTAAGCCTCTACTTGTAATTCTGGGTAGTTTGCTATGGCTACACCCTGTTAGGATATCTTAATTGATGTTATAGTATTTCCAATATCTCAGTGGCTGAAAACAACAATGATTTATTTCTCACTTATGCTATATGACTCTTATTAGTTGAATGCAGTTTTGCTCCATATTTTAATTCTTGACCCACACTGGTGTGAATTATCTGCTTGAAATATTGTCAGCCTTGTGATAGAGAGAAAAGAGAACACAGTTGACCATATTCTGCCTCCTAAACCTTCTCAGAAATATTACACTCCACTTCTACTCATATTTTATTGGTCAAATGAAGTCATATCACAAAGCCTGAGTTCAACAATGTGGGTGGTTTAATACAATATGTGGCATACTGTAAATATGACACAAAATGAATAGAAAAGTCAAGATGAAAGCAATTAAAATCATTCTTAGATGGCATTACAATTAGCACTAATCTATTTTGCATTAAATTAGATCTCAGGATATATCATTGGTGTCAGACACAACCTAATGGATAGGTTGGACAGAGATGAGCTCGTCAGGTTTAAAATTCTTTGTGTAGTATGAATATGATGCTATATGTGTATTCTTCAGGCTGGGCTACAATCTTGGTGCTAAATCAGTCCCTGACATTCTATTTCTGAAGTCCATTCTAGAGACAGCCCAAAGTGATTTTGTTATCCATTTCTCCATCACCAATCAAGGATATGCTAATTACTATATTTAAAGGTAAGAGGTAGGCTTTAATAGGTGATAATAGTGACTTTTCAATTACCATCACAAATGGTAGAAATGAGTTTTAATTGGTTAAATTAAAGGTATTCAATATACATAAGTTGGTTAAGATACTTATGAGATAAGCCCTATTCTTGCCAATTCAGGCATTTGAATTCACATGATTTCTGGTTGCCTGATGCAACCAGATAGTAAAAGAATCTTGCCTCTAGACTTAGTTCTGCTGTGAGTGACAATTTGTATAAATTGATTATTGTAGCTCCTCAAAGGACAGAGAGCTTAAAAAAGATACCACATGAACTCTTGTGTGCCTGCTTGCTAATTAATATTGGTCAAGGTTTAATGTGTACATGTAGAGCACAATTTGGTTGGGTAGCTTTATTGTCTATTCAAAATAACTTAAAATTCTATGAACATATTGACAAAGGTTAACTTGTAAGAATGTCCTGATTTCTTAGTGCTTTAGATTTTTCTGAATCATACTTAATTTAATTAGTTTTGTGTGCATATGATTTATGTTTTGTTTTGAGACTTTTTCCCCCAACAAATTACACCCAATTGCATGATTTATTTCAGCTCAGATAGAATTAAACCTTAATGTAACTTAAGTTGAAAAGAAAGCATAACCAAGGGCTAGTTAGTATTTACTATCTCCTATAATAAACCATTAAAAATATTTGAAAAGACCTAGTAATTAATCATTAATTGTTATTCACCAGACATTTAAGGGCAAGTTGTAACATTATTGTGGACTCTATGAATGAGAAGGGAAACTGGCTTAATTTTAAACATGACTGAGAAAATAAATTCAATACCTCCCTCTCATATCCTTAATCTCTAGGTAAAAATAATATTTGCATTATGACCTTACCTTTCACTCTGACTGAGGTGATAAAAAAAAAAAAACAAGGAAATTGTATGTGGTTTTAAGCATCTTTCATAAATCCTCGAGGGAATTTTAGTCATGCAATCTCTCTCATACCATATTTAACAATTGTTTTTGAATATAACTTTCTATGTCATGTTATTCAGATTTCCACAAAATAAAAAACATACTTAAATCATAGCAGTAATTTTATATAAGTTCTTCAGTTATGTCTTGAATAGTTCTACGCTGGTCCAAAAACTAAACAAAAATTTAAAATTTTCATATACTCCTTAAAAATAAAAGAGTTCAACTACATAAAGATAAATAAACATCACTACCATAGTGAGATGTCAACTTTATTGATTTTCCTTAATATATTGCCTAATAGGTCAAACACTATTGAAAACTAGGCAGGCCTGAAGGTGGACTATTCATTTGCATATGCTTCTGAATTTTAAGTGTCTGTAAGGAGAATCAGGACCCTGTGATGTCAGTGTTTCTTAAGTACTTGTTTGTATTCAGTAAGATGACTTGAATGCCCATTGTGCATGTGCTTTGCCAGTTTCTTTTTTATATTTTTGCTTCATTATTCCAATGTCCTACACAGAAAAACATCAGATTAGTATTTCTGTCATATTGTATTTATCGATGAATTCACTTATTAACAGAACAGATACAGCTTAAATCTTAGTCTGCTCAGGCTGCCATATCAAAGTATGATGGATCAGGTAGCTTAAATGACAGAAATTTATTTTCTCACAGTTCTAGAGACTGGGAAGTTCAAGATCAAGATAACAACAAGGTAGGTTTCATTTTGAGTCCTCTTCTCTTGACTTGTATGCAGCCATGATCTCTTTGTGTGTGAGAGGAGAGGGAGAGAGCAAGTTCTCTGGTGTCTTTTACAAGGATACTCATTTCATCAGACCAAAAGTCGACTGCCATGACCTCATCTAACCCTAAGTATCTTTCAAAATCCCCATCCCCAAATAGCATCACACTGAGGCTTAGGGATTCAACATATGAAGTGGGGGAGGACATAAACATTTAGTCCATAATATCTTATAATACAACCCATATGTGCACATTGAATAATTTGATCCACTTAAAAAGAATTCTATGAAATATTGAAGCCAACAACAGACAGGCAACCTTAAAGTATTTACATAAAGGCAATTTTTAAAATGTGTGTAGATTTTGCTTGACGTATTTTCGTACTATTGAGTTGAAGAAGTAGATTCTTAACTAAATACTTTAAAATCAATGGTATTATACATAAATATGATATTTTGTTTCTGAATATTAAGACAGGTAACAGTATTCGATGATACTGCCCTGAAAATGAATTTCATTAATGAAAATGATTTAATCTCCAATCTCAGAATGGTAATTCTTGACAAAACTATTTATCCTTTGATTGTTGCAGCTGTAAAACTCAATGTCAAGTTCAGTTTGCATATTTGTGCAGATTTGTTTAGAAAATGGGCTCTGTTGTGAACTTGTTTCAAAATTGCTAAATGGGTTTATAATGAAAACACATCTGCTAAACAAAGAGAAAGACCAAGTTTGAGAAAGGAATTAGCAAGAAAACATTAGTTTAAAAAGTTCTTTTATAATTAAACTGTATTGCAAATGAAGTGAATCTTTTCCCAAACATGCTATTCATAGCATCCATAATCATCAAATAGCAGGCACTTCAGGCAGAGCCAGAAGTAGATCGGCCTCGAGCAATTAAAAATAAAGCAGAAGAGGGGATGGCAGATTGCGGATGAGGTAGCACTGGCATGATTTTCTAATATCAAATACCAAGAAAACAACATTTAAACATGGTGTTAAAAAAATAATAACATTTAAGGTGACTCTTTATGTGTCTTTACCCAATGGGCTGAGAAAAAATTGTAAAAGGGTTTTCTTTGATTTAGGCTGTCAGCATTCTAACCTGCTCAAATGCCACATCAGTGAGGTTTTCTTTTAATATACATATACATACATACATATATATACATGTACACACACACATATATACATACACATATATAATACTTACATTCATAAGTATTATGTACTTACATTCATAAGTATTATATGTGTAAGATAGGTATATTAAGAGAAAACCTCACTGATGGTGATTTTTCATATATACAAATATAAATATATAAATATAAATGTTTAAAACATATATATATATATCAAGCCCCCCAATCGCAGTCTTGCAATCCCACCTCCCTTTGTTTGTATCATCTAACATACCATCTATTTCCTTGCTTATCTCTTTATTGTCTACCCCACTCAAAATATAATCCCCAGAAAAACAAAATCATTATCTCTTCAGTTCTCTCCTATATCCTAAGAACCAGTGCCTGGCATAGGGTTGGGATCCATAAAAATGTGTTTAGTAAATGAATGAATGAATAAATAAATTAAATATTCACGTCTTTGAGCACTAAGAGAAATAGTATAAACATCTGCTCAGTATTTATTGGTGTACTTCTGTCTAGATGAAGAGGCTCCTTTTAATACTATAATTTTATCAAACATCCATGGGTTTTTTTGAATAACATTCCACTCTGGATTAGAATATCTTTGTAAATATGGAATTACATCATATTTCCCCTGCACAGCATTATATCCAATGGAAAAACAAATTTGCCTCTAGATTATAAATCTGCATTTGGCCACTGGTTATTATTTATTACTGTTTCTTCACACCATGTATAAGAATTCACAGTCTTCTACACATCTTTCTAAGTGAAGCTTAGTGAATGGCTTTCTCAAGTAGCTTTTCTATTTGAAGAAGTAGGAAGTGATACTATCGATTGAAGAGAGAGACAGAAATAAAAGAAGGGAGAAAGGAAGGCAGAAGAGAGAAAGGAAGAAAGAAATTCCCAAATAGCATTAAAGAGTGTATCCCTCATTTTTCTCTCCCATCAAATCTTTATAATAATTGGACGTTAAAGGACAAAATTGGTCACTGAGTTCTCTGTGTTCAGCAAACCTAAACTCTGTCAGGAGCATAAAAAATATTTTCAAAATGCAAAGCTGTTTAATTATGATACCCCTGTGCTTAAAAC
The DNA here is from genome assembly GCF_000001405.40 of Homo sapiens. Taxonomy (NCBI): domain Eukaryota; kingdom Metazoa; phylum Chordata; class Mammalia; order Primates; family Hominidae; genus Homo; species Homo sapiens. Next base: position 83,862,635 of record NC_000005.10, on the reverse strand, counting down.
ACTGCAGTTACTTCCCATTGCTCCTAATGTAAACAGCAACATCCTCAACATCCTAAAATATCCACCTGGTCTGGCGTTTGCTTATCACCCTAGCCTTATTAATGATTGTGTTAATCCATTGCTCCTAATGTAAACAGCAACATCCTCAACATCCTAAAATATCCACCTGGTCTGGCGTTTGCTTATCACCCTAGCCTTATTAATGATTGTGTTAATCTGTTCTCATGCTGCTATAAGAACATACCAGAGACTGGATAATTTATAAAAGAAAGAGATTTAATTGGCTCAGTTCTGCAGGGCTGGGGGGGCCTCAGGAAACTTACAATCATGGCGGAAGGGGAAGAAAACATGTCCTTCTTGACATGGTGGCAACAAGGAGAAGTGTGAGCAATAGGGGTGAAAGCCCCTTATAAAACCATCAGATCAGCCGGATGTGGTGGCTTACACCTGTAATCCCAGCACTTTGGGAGGCTGAGGCAGATGGATCACAAGGTCAGGAGTTTGAGACCAGGCTGGCCAACATAGTGAAACCATCTCTACTAAAAATACAAAAAATTAGCTGGGTGTGGTGGCAGGTGCCTGTAATCCCAGCTACTTGGGAGGCTGAGGCAGAAGAATCGCTTGAACCCGGGAGGCAGAGGTCACATTGAGCTGAGATGGCACCATGGCACTCCAGCCAAGGTGACAGTGAGAGACTCCATCTCAAAACACAAAAAACAAACAAACAAAAAAATAACAAAAAAAAGTCAGATCTTGTGAGAACTCACTCACCTGCATGAGAACAGCAGCATGTGGGTAACCACCCCCATGAGTCAATTACCTCCCACTGGGTTCCTCCCACAACATGTGGGGATTAGGGGAACTATAATTCAAGATGAGATTTGGGTGGAGATACAGCCAAACCATATCAATGATCACTCTGTCCCTCAGTCTATGAGCTCCAGCCAAGTTGCCTTCTGTCTATCTCTAAAGTCTCCATTCTCTTTCCAAATGCCATGTATTTGATTATACTCTCTGTTTATAAAAGCTTTTTCATCATTTTCTCTTAATTTAACCTTCCTCATCTTTCAAATCTCAGCTTAAAGATCCCTTTTTCTTGAAGCTTCCCTTTAACTTCCTCAAATTCTCATTTTAGGGTAGGTTCCCTTGGTTTAAACTCACATATAAAGTTGTTTTTTCTTTGGTTCCTTCTTTCTTTTCTTCTTTTCTTCTTTTTTTTCTGATAGAATACATGTCTTAATTTGTAATGATAAATTCATTTGCATTTCTGTTTGACTGCTACTTGTCTCCCCAATTAACCTGTAGGAGAGTAGAGACACATCTTTTGCTCCCCATTATTTCCCTAACTCAAAAACAGTGCCTGGCATATGTGATAGGAGGTTACTAATATTTATTGCATAAATGAAAACAGGTAACTTATGAACTGCTTGACTTGCCTTGCTAATGGAAGTCAACTATCGTTTTAATATGCCTTTACTTAATCAGTAATAGTTAAAGAATGAAATGATGTTTATGACCTTTTCTTCTTGGTATGCACATAGGTGATTAAAGAGCAGTAAATGAAGAAAGGTCAAACATTAAAAAGATTCAATATCAGGCACTTCTTACCTGTTCTGATGCCTGTAAGTTCATCTAATGTTAGGACATGTGTTCTCATAGGAAGTAGAGAATACAATAGCATTTGTGAACAAATGCTATATTAATTTTGCCTATGATTTTCAAGGAAACAATTTCGCGACAAGATGTTGATAGTAATAATGAAATCAATAAAAGGGAAAAAGTTGGAAAATCCGAAAATGAAGCACCCAGATCTCAGGGACATTTTCAGGGAAATAAATATGTAGTTACTCTATAGTGAAAATGCCATGTTTTGTGGTGCGAAATGTTTCATGCCTCACAAAATAGAAGTTATAAAAGATCAGTCAGTAATCAAAGAATATGCGTAACACCATCCGTTAACCAAAGGAAAGGATGACGCAAAGATGATAAATGAAGAGTCTCTTCAGAAATGGAAAAAAAAAATGAATGAAGACCTCAGACATTAAAATGGGTCTGGCTTCTCCCTGAGGTTTCTGAGAGGATTTTGCATTTTTCTCATTTGGTTCCTCCAGTAATTTTATGTGAATTTGAGCCCAGAAAATGCTCCATTAATGCTTTCCATACAAACTCAAATCAACAAAAATGATTAGAATATACAGAGAAAAGAGACTAGGCGTTGGCTGATGTTTTTATTGTGGACTTAATTTTAAATAGTTGTGTGACCATTATGAAATAATTTAACCTCTCTCTTGAATCTTACTTGCAGCATAGAATTTAGTGAGAAACATACCAATAACTGCTGTGCCTTCTAACACATGTCAGAAAGGTGATATACATTAATTCTTTCACCTTAGAGTGTGTGTATGTGTGTGTGTGTGTGTGTGTGTGTGTGTGTATGTGTGTGAACTCAAGGAGTGTTTAGTGTCCTGAGAGGGCTTTCTTTGATCTCCCTCCAGAATCTCTTTCTCACCTACCCAAGGATGTGTGGAATTCCTTAAAAGTGATACAGAATTTTACTCTATAGTTAGCATTAAAAATAAAAACAAATCACCCTAGAAGGAGTGACATTTCAAATTTCATACTAAGACTTAAAAATATTTCCAGGAGACCTTTTCCTGAGACTAAATTTTGACAAAGTTAATAAAGCTGAGGGTAGTGAATACTAAAGAATGGGGAATAAAAATGGCAAAGCTTAGAGCACCAAAAGCACAATTCACTTGCTTTATGTCTTTGCTGGGAGCTGGCCCCGGAGAGCAACCTGGAAAAGACAGTTAGACATACTTCAAGTGTACGTAGCTAACACTACACCTCCATCCCTATAGAAGCATGCGTGCATACGGATATTCCTTGGGCCCAGGTGCCATTCCTGGGGATTGGCACTATTCCCACATACTTATGGGACTAAGACCAGAGACCATCCAATTGTAAAAGAGTAAATAGAACATATTGGATACCAGTGTTTAAAACACTGACAGAAATGACAGTTCAAGTAAGTTAATGAAACAATTTTTGCTTGATTTTGACCATGTTTTTATGATATAATTCTGTTTGCTTATTTATTTGGCAGCCAGAATGAAAACTGTATCTTTTTAAAATATCTGTAGAATCTGGAGATACTCTGGGCATTTCATATAGCCTTATGCTTGTAATAACAATTGGTTGCTAAGGATCACAGTACAGATGGCAGATACAATTACTAGGTGGATGCAGTGTTTCTGACAGTCTCATCTGTCTGATTTTGATAAAATAACAATCCAATGAAAGTGAGTTTCTGTGTTTTGCAGAGTATTCTAGCATATTCTTGCATATTTCTAGCTGAAACTTACATAATAGTGCCTTCTTCTGATCTAATGTTAGTCCCTTTCCTTCCAACACCTTTTAGGCCCATATTTTCCTTGTTTTCAATATATTTTTATTTCCTTTCTTTTTTGCTATTGTCACTGAGGAAGAGTAAGGTGAAAATGAAGTCCAGGAGGCTGCTGGGCCTCCATGAGAGTATGCAATTGGTGTCATGTTGGCCCAAATTCCAGAGGCCTAAGGAAAACAAAAAGAGGTTTAAAAAAAGGTAAAAAATGAGGTAGTTATTGACATTCCAGAGAAAGACAGCAACCCAACATCAGGGACAAGGTTGGGAACCAGAGAGATAAGGTAGAAATTCCAGTCAGAAAAAAAAAAAAAAAAATTGTCTGTGATCTCCTAGGTCAACTCCCCGAAAGCCTTTCACCTGAGTGATATTTACTAGACAATTCCCACTCCCAAGAGCTTTCCTAATGGGAATCCTAAAAATGCTTTGGACTTTTGACACCTTCCAGTGCTTAAGATTCCCTCCTCTCCAGCAAATAACATTCATCTTAGTCTTGTTTTACAATCCAAGAACCCTTTCAAGATTTTGAAATTCAAACTCCCGTGAAGACTGACCACCCTAATTATCAGGGGGTTGAGAAATTGCTATAAAACCAGGTGGGGTAAGGGGGATGGGGAGAAAAAGAACAGATAATTATAATGAAATCAAGGATGCATATACCCTAGCACGCCACTACAATGTGGGCTGAAACTGCCAATTCCTGGTATCACTTTGAAGTTAACTACTTTTTACTGAGTCCTCTTGAATGATTCCAGGAAGGGCTTTCTTAATAGGAAAGGGTGAATGTAGAGTAGGGAGAGTCTAGTGTCCTCTTTAATATTTATGCCTCCCAGGTACACAAGGCAAATTTATCATCAATAAATTTGAATACAGAAGACTAGGTTCACAAGGGGCTTCTAAAAATCATTTAGTTTCACCTCTGCTTCTAAATAAATAAGTCATTCTGAAAATTTTCTAATTAATTAATTAAATCTTACCTAAAAAAAATCTTCTGACAACCAGATAGCATCGTTTCTCTTCATAAAACATTCCAGAGTTAGAATTAGAAAGCTTCTAATATATAATACAAGTTTATTTGACTGCAGTTTAAGATAATTTCTTTTTTTCTGTTGTTTCACTATTTTTCATATATAAGCATCTTTTGTTATATTTTAGATAAATATACCTAGAGGTGTGTGTTTTTTTTTTCTGGTTATGAGACTAAAATTACTTATGACTACATATTCACTTTTGATGCATAAATTAGAGTGAGAAATTTGACCTTTATAAAATTTGACTTTATAAACACACCTCTTTATGCGATATGTAACTGGGTAATTTGCAATATAAGGGTGACAATGAGGAAAATTCTCAGGGTAAAAGCACATTTTGTGACTTGCTCCCACTGATTCGATTTTTACTACAATTTTGTGCCACAGCTGTAATTCCCTGTTTAGTGTTCTACATGAAACTAAACCCATGGAGAAAACTACCTCTTATTTACATGAGGTAATATAGAACGAGGGGCAAAATATGCAGCAAACCTCTTTAGGGGTACCCACTGCTTGCTTCAGGGGTGTTTTTGAAAATGAAAATTAAGTCTACATGACCCCAAATGCCTGCCAACCAGGGCTTTGCTAAATGCACACTGTGCATAATTGGGGTGGCTTTGGCCACTCAGCCTGGGCTCAAAGCCACTCTGGTTGGCAGTCTTGCCAACCAGAACATACTAGGGAGGTGGGGCTCTCAGGCAGCCTTGTCATCTTTCCACAACTCTGCCAGTGAAAATTCTAACAGGATTTCCTGAGAAAACTTAGACCCAGTCACCAAGGGCACCCTACAGAAAGCTTGCCCTCAGTAGTTGTAGAAGCCACATTAATCTGGTGGCTACTCTAACTCAAGCCCCCAGTGATGCTGAAGTGAAAATGGAAATTATCAGTTTTCCCTAATTCCTATGATATTCCTGTTCCCCCTACACTATGAAAGTATGACCTTGGCTAACCCTCCAAAATGGCATTGAACCCTAATTCTCTAACAATCTCATTGTCTTTTATCTACTTCTAAAGCTGGATTTTTTGGCAATGAAGGAGGTTTCGAGTAGGCAACATGTGTGTAACTAATCTCATTAGCAGCAGGAGCCAGCTTAAGTCTCAAGAGACGGATACTTAAAGCAGTGGTTCCAAGTGTTGTAAAACTGCCATGAAGTGGAGATTTGGCAATATCTGGGTCAACTGGATAATTGCAAACCGGCAAACCAGGTCATCCAGGTCAATCGTATTTCAACCGGGACCTGAATTATTTAATCTGGCTGCCCCAAATGATCAGATTAACTAAGAAACTGTCAAGCTGTTTAGATCTTTTCGTCTACAAGTGTAAAACTGTAAAAAAAGGAAATCTCAGAGTTGCAGACTGTAGGGAATTTAGGAAGTGCCACCAGATCCTTCCCATAGAATGCTCTCTAGTAATAAAAAAAGATGCATATGCATGCACTTCTCTTGTGGCTCAATAGACTACAGAGTAATCTGCGGCCTCTGTTCTAAGAAGTGTTTAACACTTTTTACCTCTGCAGCTTCTGCATTAAGAGTAAATCCATAATGGAACCCAGCCAACTGGAGAGCTGATTATTTTTGAAAAACAGTTTGGTTCTTGGACATTGTTTTCTCTTGTGGAACAAGAATTTAAATTCATGCCATTGCTTTGCTCTTCCCTGACCCAAAGGAAAATTAGAATAGAGTATGGATTCTGAAATAGGTTGTACTTCTGGACTCATTGGTGCTTAATAATAGATATCTCTAACCCCTAGACAATTAACTAGTGCTCATATATAATTCCCTTGACTCACAGCAGGGAACTAAAAAGGGTGAAGATAAACGTAAAATCTAATTGGAATTCTTACACTTTTCCCTATAGCCTAAATGGAGACTTGAAAATTTATGCTACACAATTACAGTGTCTCTTCACATTCAAGGAAAGGAAGAGTGAAGCAGTAATCTAAAATATCACTCAAGGTCAGAGCACACCACTGTTTCTGACTGCCTGAATCTGTCTCCAGCTTGGTGCTTACTCTTCCTCCTTGTGTTCTAGTTCTTCTCCCTCAGGATTGACATTATAATTGGACAGACGCAGACCAACCTCAGAGCCCTAAATTCTGAGCAGATTACTGTCCCCAGGATTGATAACCTAAGTTTGAGGTCTACATCTTTGTTCATTTCTAACACTATTGGCAAGACAGACAGCTAGCAGTCAATAGGAAAAACAAAAACAAAACCAAAAAAAATCCCATTTGGTCACCTGTGGTACAATAACACATATTGTTATAAAACAGAAATATGTATTTATGGCATGCTGCAAAGAAAGTTCTAATCTGAGGAGTGGAAAAAAATAGTGAACAATAATGTAAACCACAGGCTTTCATCTATTTCATCCCCATTGCTTTTAATGTTTGCTCTTTCTTTTTTCCCCAAACTGGATAATTTAGACATTTCCTACAATAGACCTTCATTATAGTCCATAAATGCTTTTGGGTATGCCTGTAGAAAATTTGCTCCAAAGCTTGAATTGGAGCAAGGTCTTCATTTAAAGAAAAAAACATCTTTGACATCTGCTGAAGTGTTAATTTCTCTGAAATCACAGAGGGTATTAACCAGTCTTTCTCTTGCTGAATAATAAGTTTTAAAATTTTTGAAAGAATGCCAAAGGGCTTTCATGCAAACGTTCTGTCATTGTATCCCTGACTTTCCTGAAATGTGTTTCTTTAACCTTTTATTCTAAACCTATGGCTTCAAAAAATTGATACATATTTAAAGACTATAGTTCATGCACATTGGCAGCATCAGACAGGATTCATTCTTAAAAATTGAAGGGGAATATTTTCTAACTCTCCTGGATGTGAGAGTTTATGGGTGTGAGAAGAGATTGTCAAATTAGTCTTGTTACTTAATACTAAACAAGTGAAAGCAAAATGAAGTGAAATGGCTGAAAAATATTCTTCTTTCCATTCTTTGACCCATTCTCTCTACCCCTAAAGTAGGTAGAATTCTTCATGAGGAATTTAATTCCTTTAATTTTTACTGGTCAGTGATTTTTAACATCCATAGAAAAAGCTAAACACTAATTGGAGGAAGTGATCCAGGTAGAAGGAATGAGTAGCAGGGCAGCTGAAACCTTGAAGGAGTGAAAGCCAAGTCAAGAGCTTGTTACTGAGTTGCCTTCCGCTATTGGGATGAGAGGGGAAGCAATTGGCCAAATGTTCTCCTCCTTTTTTGGCAGAGGATAATCCTTGTGCACTAATGTTCCCACACTTCTAGGATACAAATGTGTAAGTAAAAAGTGAGTCTCAGTGGCCATCCCATACCTCCACATTAAAGAAATCTATAACAGAGGCTAGAAGTGTGTGTAGCCAGCCAAACCAAGGTATCATCAGATTACACCTGTGCAAATGTGGTAGAAGCTTGGGAAGAACTGATTACGATAGTGATGCTGGAGAAAGAAGAGGGGACAAGATATTTGAAGTGTTTGCAAACCAAAACCACATTAATGGTCCATTTTCCTTCATTTCTCTTTTCATTGTGGAGTAAAGCAACCCAATAAACTCATCTAGGTATAATAGTCTTAATGGTTCATATCTTTAAAAGGCAGCTGAACTTTTAAAGAACTGTGTTTCTTATGGTGGCATGTTGTGTATCATTGGGGTACACATTTCTATCACAGAAGTCTGCCCATTGCTGCCTAGAACTAATCACGGATGGCAACCATCTACGGTACCTACATATAAATTTCTCCTGTCCCTTTCTTAGAATGGCATCAGACTCATGGTAGAGTAGAACAAATGTAGTTTTGTGGAGGGGTCAGAAGAACTTTCATAAGGGTAATTTTTAAATAAGAATTGCATTATCAGGCAGGGCGCGGTGGCTCACTCCTGTAATCCCAGCACTTTGGGAGGCTGAGGCGGGCGGATCACAAGGTCAGGAGATCGAGACCATCCTGGCGAACATGGTGAAACCCCGTCTCTACTAAAAATACAAAAAAATTAGCCGGGCGTGGTGGCGGGCGCCTATAGTCCCAGCTCCTTGGGAGGCTGAGGCAGGAGAATGGCGTGAACCCGAGGGGTGGAGCTTGCAGTGAGCCGAGATCGCGCCACTGCACTCCAGCCTGGGCGACAGAGCGAGACTCCGTCTCAAAAAAAAAAAAAAAAAAAAAGAATTGCATTTTTTATTTAGTCATACTATCTTTCAACTAATTTTGGTTAAATTTACATTTCCCTAGAAAAGCATGTATACCATCTGTCTCATTTGCCTGTTTGATGGCTCTTATCCGTGCTAGAGTTTCCTATTTTTTTTATTTAATCCTATAAATGTATTAATGTATGAATTTTCCTCTGAGTGCTCCCTTGGCTAGATGCCATATGGCTTCCTTATGCTTATTGATTTGTAAATATTCTGTATTATAGTGGTGATTTCTACCTTAAGGCAATAAATACTAAGTAAAGTATTTTAATATTTCTAAACGATTATATTTTAAGGTTAATCTATTGTTGCAAATTTTTAATATTAAATAAAACAGTTTTTTAAGGTATATGACCTTAAGAAAAGGTCCTATAAAAAAGACCTATAAAATGTCTCTTTTCAGGAATGTATTAGCATGCTAATTAATGGGCACTGGAAAAAGACAAAGGTCTCATATCTTTTTATAAGGCATATGTTTAAATATATTTAGTATATTTAAACAAATCATATTCTTCAACTCAGAGCACAGGTATCATTACTTACATTTTACTCTTTTGTCAAATACCGCAAGATACTTTTGGATCCTTAACTTTTTGTTTTTTAATTCCTCCTTAACAGTTTTAGTTTATACACTTTCATAAAATTTTATTAGAGGATTTACTGTCATTAAATTTTGTGTGTAAATTATATAGCTTAATAATATAAGAAGAATGCTTTTATCTTATTTTGCACTTTTTGTTTTTTATTTATTGTCCAATATGATTGTATTCAATGCCTTCTTATAATTTGAATGTATTAGATATGCTTTTGTAATTGCTTTAATACTTAAACTTTTTGTGTTTCTTTAAGTATGCCATTGAATTTTGTTTTACTCTCTAATCGCTCCTATTTACATCTCTTATTATAATACAAATATTTTATCTTATTCTGTGTACTTGTTAAATAATTTCTATTTATTTTTAATAATGCTTTATTGATGTTTTATTTATTTTCTAATTTCTGCCATATGGGCTCTGATAGAGTCAAACAAATGTAGAAACAGTTGTTTTTATATTTTCTATTGTTTTATATCATATTCATCCTATTTTAAATTGTATTTTTTTTTAACATTTAAACATTATTTAACTTCTATGTTGAGTGAGATGCATTTATCACAAAGATAATCTATTTATACTACCCACAGATAAACATCAGAATTGTCCAGAAGCAACTGAAAGATTATGAAATGAAGAATTGTATCTATCCATTTCATCCTGAGTAGAAACGAAAAATAAAATAAGAAAAGAGAAAAGTAAAACCCAGGGAATAACTTGCATTCTCTTAACCACACAAGGAAGGTATATTCATTTTCTATTGTTGCTGTAAAAATAGCCATAATTGTATTGGCTTAATACAGCACAAATTTATAATCTTACAGTTTCTGTAGGTGAGAAGTCCTGTGAATAAAATTGACAGGAAAATGGATTAACAAGAGAAAAGCAAGCAGAACTCAGTTATTAACACATGCACCCGGAATACACCTGGGAGAAACTTAGAGGTGAGCAACTCAAAGGAGTGGTTAGAACTTGGGCTTACATAAACAATTTTAACAAAGAACAATACATTTGTAGAGAAGTGACAAAACAAAAGGCTTCAGGCTTCCAAGGTGGCAAACTGTCGGAGGGTAAATAGAAGGGGGAAACAAATAGAGTGAGGCTTGTCTGTAAAGGTCATCTTGGTGCCAACTTTCCGCTTTCTTCACGGACACAAAACTTCCTCTGGAGAGAGAGTTTACAACAGCCCTCATTTCTCAAAAGTTCTGTTTTGGTCAGATAAAGGAAGCCTTCTTTCTGCATCTGTTAAATCTTAAAAGCCTTCAACTCAAAATCATCCTTATGCCAAAGTGGCATATTTTGGAGTGCCATGTTCTGGGGAAGAATCTGCTTCCTTGCTCAGTTAGGCTGTTGACAGAATTCACTTCTTGTAATTGTACAACTGAGGTCCTGTTTCCTTGCTGACTGTCAGCTGAGAGCTGTTCTCAGCATCTGGATTTCACCCCCTTTCCTTGACTCATAGTCTTCTTCCTCTGTCTTCAAATCAGTAATGATTTGTTCTCACACTGCACTTCTCTGTAACTGACTGCAGCTGGAAGTTACCCCTCTTTTAAAGGCTCATGTGACTAGATTAGGCTCAAATGGATAAACCAAGATAATCTCTTCATCTCAAGGTGTACACCTGAATCACATCTGGACAGTACCTTTTCCACCTAATACAAATGTATGGATTCCAGAGATTAGGGTGTAGACATTTTCAGAGCTCTTATTCAGTCTACCACAAAAGGGCAGGCCAGAACATATTAGAAACCAGACCAGGCAGCACTAAAAGTTCTGACTTATTGCATTGATCTGACAAAAGAACCTTATCGTATTAAAATAAATGTTCAAAAGAAAAACCAGATGCAGGCCGGGTGCAGTGGCTCACGCCTATAATCCCAGCATTTTGGGAGGCCGAGGCAGGTGGATCACCTGAGGTCAGGAGTTAGAGACCAGCCTGGCCAACATGGTGAAACCCTATCTCTACTAAAAATACAAAAATTAACTGGGCGTGGTGGCAGGTGCCTGTAATCCCAGCTATTCAGGAGGCTGAGGCAGGAGAATCACTTGAACCTGGGGGGCGGAAGTTGCAGTGAGCCGAGATCGCCCCATTGCACTCCAGCCTGGGGGGACAAGAGCAAGACTTCATCTAAAAAAAAAAAAAAAAAATCGCAGATGCAAATGAAGTAAACAATAATTAAGGGAGGAGCCGCATGTACTTGGAGTGCCACACTAACGGAGAGTCTAGAAGTCGTTTGGAAATGATTTTTAATGGAGATTAAGATAGGGGTCAATGTAGGAGAAGAATGTGACACTCATAAAATGAAGCATAAGAAAGACCTTCTGGGTATCACAGACTTATTGCTACTCCTGCTGACTGAGATTGGCGTAGATGCTAAGTAATAAATCATGGAGTTGTAGTTTTGCATCCAAGTTGTCTCATCTAGTTACTATGGCACTGCTGATTAATGGAACCCTTATTTATTTATTTATTTATTTATTTTTATTTTTGTTATTTTTATTTTTTATTATACTTTAAGTTCTAGGGTACATGTGCACAACATGCAGGTTTTTTACATAGGTATACATGTGCCATGTTGGTTTGCTGCACCCATCAACTCGTCATTTACATTAGGTATTTATCCTAATGCTATCCCTTCCCCAGCCTCCCAGCCCACGAAAGGCCCCAGTGTGTGATGTTCCCTGTGCTTTGTCCATGTCTTCTCACTATTCAACTCCCAGCTATGAGTGAGAACATGAGGTGTTTGGTTTTCTGTCCTTGTGATAGTTTGCTCAGAATGATGGTTTCCAGCTTCATCCATGTCCCTGCAAAGGACATGAACTCATCCTTTTTCATGGCTGCATAGTATTCCATGGTGTATATGTGCCACATTTTCTTAATCCAGTCTATCATTGATGGACATTTGGGTTGGTTCCAAGTCTTTGCTATTGTGAATAGTTCCGGAATAAACATACGTGTGCATGTATCTTTATAGTAGCATGATTTATAATCCTTTGGGTATATACCCAGTAATGGGATCACTGGGTCAAATGGTATTTCTAGTTCTACATCCTTGAGGAATCGCCAGACTGTCTTCCACAATGGTTGAACTAATTTACACTCCCACCAACAGTGTAAAAGCAAGGAACCCCTATCTATTAGGAAATGTTCTTTGACCAAACGCAGACGTTCAGTCTTCTGGTACTCTGTGTAACAGTTCATGGCAATGTAATCATTCTAGACCTTGAATTCTACTCCCTGCCCTTGTCAGACCAGATCTTGGATTCTACTCCCTTCTATTAACCTCATCCTGGAGGGTAGGGCCAAATCAGGGGAAGTAGCTAGGAAGACAACACTTTATTTCCCCATGTCTGGAGTCAAGGTTGAAGCATTACATTAAGAGTCCCATAGAACCATTCATTTCCTTCCTCATAGAGACAATGAGTTAGCAGTGTATTTTTTTCTCATTCCATCTGCCCAGGTTATCAATATTTTCTGTTACATCTAAATTTTGCCATCGTTTATTCTTAGTATGTTTTATTTTGTTTTCCTGCTTTTTTGAGAATAAGATTGGAATTTATATTCAATTTTGTTAACAGACTTATAGTTACTTGCATCCACCTCTATCTCTAATTGTATTGCTAAACCCTTCATAAAACTGTTTTTCTATTCTTCAGCTCTTACTTGTACAGACATGATAGTATATCAATATGTATTATATCAATATGTGCCCAAAGAGCAATGGAAAATTTTTTGGAAATATTTATTTGCTGAAAATCATTTTACAGTGCTAATATTTAATCAGGCTCTATATGAGAGGGTTTTTTTCTTTTTCATCACATTTTGGATTCATCTTTTTCTCTATATGCAAATTATTTTCTTCCATTTCAGACTGAAATACTCGGGCTTTCATTTCTATTTCTGTCTTCAAACTTGTTTCCTCCCCACTCTCTATCCATTTCTATCAATCTTCATGCTGGTGCCAATCTACCTTTCTACAACATTTCAGCTTACTGGTTTCTTACCTGTGGCCTTATTAAAGCTTTCTGATACATGTTACTTCTACTTGGATTATCTTCTCCATTTCTTTATTTTAGTATAATTCCTACATTTCTTTCAACACCAAATTCAGGTTACATCACCTTTACCTGATGGCACTTGCCAACCAAGGTTCTCTTTGTCTCAATTCATATGATATCTATCATCCACTTCATGGACATTGGCTTGAATGACATGCATTTCTTGCTCTTCTCCTGTTGTTTCTATGAATCATATTTTCCCTATTGTATTAGTCTGTTCCCACACTGCTAATAAAGGCATACCCAAGACTGGGTAATTTATAAAGGAAAGAAGTTTAATTGACTCACACTTCAGCATGGCTGAGGAGGACTCAGGAAACTTACAATCATGGCAGAAGGGGAAGCAACACATCCTGCTTCACGTGGTGGCAGGAAGGAGAAGTGCCAAGCAAAAGGGAGAAAAGGCCGTTGTAAAACCATCAGATCTTATGAGAACTCACTCACTATCATGAGAACAGCATTAAGGTAACCACCTCCATGATTCAATGACCTCCCACCAGGTCCCTCCCATGACATGTGGGGATTATGGGAACTGAAATTAGAGATGAGATTTGGATGGGGACACAGCCAATCTATGTCATCTATCATATTTTAAATTTCCTTACAACAATGATTCTTCTTCTTCTATGGCCTTCTCAGCACCTGGCATAGTACTACATTCTCAGTAAGAGTCTGAAAGTGATATGCTCTCTACTGAATAACAAATAAGTTCATACAACATAATGCAGTTTAATATTTTAGTATAACTTAAACTTTAAATAAAAATTTAAAATATGTGCATGATTTTAAAATAAAGCTGTAAAAAAAATAGAATAAAAACTAAGTCTCCTTAAACACTCTTTCCCCAAAGTAAACTTTTTGTGGTTTCTCATGCATAATTAAAAGAAATATTATTTATTTATTTATGTCATATTAACTAGACTATCATTTAGCTATATGTAAATAAAATATATAGAAATCACTTCGTATACACTGCTCTATATCTTTTTCTCATTTATAATTCTTTCTCACTTAGTTTGACAATCTTTCCATGTCAACATTTTCAGATATTTTTCACTGATTTTTTAATGGCTATATAGCCTTTTATCATATAAATATGCCGGGCATCATCTTCTACTTGTAGATATCAAAGCTATTTCCAGTTCTTTGTTGTTACAAACAAATTGCAAACAGCTAAATAGGAAGTATACATTTCAAGCAAAAATCGATCTCTACAGAACCTATCGCTCTGGGACAAATCCATCCCCATTCCTATGTTAGGTCTCTAAGCTCTTATCTTCAATTTATATTAGTTATGAGGAAAAGAGTATGAGAAAGAGCGTTTTTTGTTAAGTTAGAAAGCTTCCTAACTTAACAAAAAGTTTTAACAATAAGTGATTCAAGCCTGATTAAATGTTCAGTTTATGAAAGGAAATGTACGATGTTGAACTCAGTAGCAAAAATTAATAAAGTAAATATTTGCACATCTGACTTCTGCCACTGAAATTATCATACTTGCAATGCTACCTTGCTTGGGATTGTGGAAGTGATAGAGGGTGCCATGTGGATATCTGGAGGAAGGATGTACTGGGCAAAGGCACAAAACAAATACAAAGGCTTCAGGGCAGAAGCTAGTCAGGAGAGTCAGAGAAACCAAAGGGAAGCCAGTGTGGCTTATGCTGGGTAAGGAAGTGGGAGAATTGTATGAAATAAAGCAAGAGATGCACCTTGTAAGCCATTTAAAGTACTTTGCCTTTTTCTGAGTAAAATGGGAGGATATTGGAGGAATTTAAGTTGACAAGTTACTTAATCTCACTTACATTTTAATAGAGTCACCTGCTGTTTAGAGAATACATTGAAAGGGGGCAAGAGAGCAAATAGACTTATTAAAAGGCTATGTTAAGAGTCTGGTTAAGAATGATTGTGGCAATGGACTGTGAAACCTAAGCTGCTGCATAAGGGGGAAAATGAGGGCATCAATGTGGAGGTAGACAATGAAAAATATGATAGAATCAATAGAATGAAGACCTCACTGGGTGAAAGGTCTGGTAGAGTAAGGACGTTAGAGGGAGTGACTGAGAAAAATAGGAACTATAGGTCTGAGGGCAGGAAGCTTAAAATGCACATTATAAAAGACATGCAGTCATTGATGATGACAAGATCTAGATGTCATTTATAATGACAGGAAAAGAGACCTGAGGTACAGTAGAGGGTAAGGTCATTGAGACTGAGAGGCCAAGGTAATAAAAGCTTCATCTACATGCACATCGATATCCCCCTAAATTATGACCACACTGACATTAGAGAATATGCTAGTGAACCAGGAGCTCAATTCTTCCAGAAGTGATGGGGAGGGACTCAGGTCAGTGTAAAAGACTGCAACAAGGAGGGTTACAGTCCTCCCTATTCAACTGTAGAACATGTATTTCTTGAGATATTCTTATTTTATCTCATACAGAATAACTATGAAAAAGTGTCATAATTAGCACAATTTAGGGTCATGGTTACAAGAGCTGACTCCTGGAGCCAGACAGGCTGGGCTCAGATGTCATTTGCTATTTACCAGCTGGGTGACCTAAGGCAAAATGTTTTATCTCATCTGCAAATTAGAGATGATGAAAGGGCCTCCCTCGCAAGGTTGTTGTGAGTCTTATTTGAGATAATATATGTAAAGCACATAGACCAGTGCCTGGCACAGACTAAGTACCATGTAAGTGTTTGCCATTAATAATGTCATATTCTTCACTTGGGTATCACAGGGCATGTCAAGGAAATACTCACCACATGCATTATAAGTTGGTTGGAGAGAAAATTAGTAGAGAGCAATTTGTCAATGCCTTTACAAAGCAATTTTGTCTCTAGGTATTTATCCTTTGGTCACACACCTTTATAAAATGTCATGTATACAAAACTATTACTGTTACATGATTATAATAGTAATAAGTTTGGGGAAATATACATCTGTAGACTGTATTCTTATGCAGCTCTTAAAAAAATGCCAACAACAAATGTACTAGCTTCATGGGACATTCTCCAGGATGTATTATTAGGTGAAAAAAAATCAAGTGCAGGACAATGTATATACTTTTGTGGCATTTGATACATACATATATATTTCTCTAAATGGATGTGTATAAGTGAATGTAGTATTTTTGAAAAGTTACGCGGGAAGTCTCTAGTGGCCTCTCATGAGGAAAGCTGGGTGACTAGGAGACAAGGGTAAGAGAAGCCTTACTTCTAAGTTTATATTTTGTACTGCATATATGTATATATGTTAAAAAAAATAGTGTTTTTTGGTATGTGTGTGTCTGTGTTTTTTTTTTTTTTTTTTGAGACAGAGTCTTGCACTGTCATCCAGGCTAGAGTGCAGTGGCATGATCTCGGCTCATTGAAACCTCCACCTCCTGGATTCAAGCGATTCTCCTGCCTCAACCTCTCAAGTAGCTGGGATTACTGGAGCCTGCCACCACGCCCAGCTAATATTTTGTATTTTTAGTAGAGATATGGTTTCGCCATGTTGGCCAGGCTGGTCTTGAACTCCTGACCTCGTGATTTGCCCGCCTCGGCCTCCCAAAGTGCTGGGATTACAGGCGTGAGCCACTGCGCCCGGCCAAAATAGTGTTTTAAAAATAAGTCTAGATAGTATAACTTTAATTTTATATTAAGAGCAAATTATTTCAGCGAGTATTTCTTGACTCCCTAACTGTATACCAGGTCCATGGTGGGTACTCCCAGAGAGTCCAGGGAAGAAGAACACGAGTCCTTCTCCTTAGGCACCTGCTGGGGAGAGAAGATGCACCCACACGAAAAACTAGAGAATAATACCAGAAGTGTGTCGTTGAACATAGTCAAAGGTTCTAAAGTGGTTAAGAGGCTGGCAACTCTGTTTCTACTTGGCACTTTCAGAATGGAAACTAGATCTGGTTATATATTTAATTTATTGGGGATCTTTCATGAAAAAGATCAGTATCTTAAATATATTTGTTTAATTTAAAACAACAAAACAAAAAATAACTCTCAAAATTATCCTTCGTATTACAGCAGTACAAAAATAATACACCAAACCGTCTTTATTCTAGCTGCTTTCTAGTACCACTGGAACTAAAATACTCTATTTATTTAAACCCAAATTTAGCATGAGGTGACTGGGCAGCTCAGGACACTGCAATAAAATGTAATTGGCATTTTGATCCATGGCTGTTGATGAGAACGTAGGACGTTGGTATTTCCAAAAAATCTAAGTCCATGACACACATGGAAAAAAATACAAGTAAGAAGAAGTAATTGAGATTCTGAAAGGAGACTTCGAGAATTACCTACAAATAGATACTGACCTTTTTTTTTTCCTTATCCTTAATCCCCTTCTAACTGAATATCACTGCGATGTGTTGGAAGAGCAGGCACGGCTTCTGTGCTACAGGCTATAGCTGGTGTGTGAACACAGCACAGTTTCTAATCCTGTACCAAATATAAAATTAACTTAAAAATGACTTTCTGTTTCAGTTTGTTTGCTCATAAGGTACAAGGCACTGATAGATATTTGAGGAAAATGAAAGCAATAGGCTCAAAGTAGTTCAACTGAGAAAAATAACTGCTTTGTAAGACAGGCATTTCTGAGAAACCTCTAACCTCAGCCCTCCAGCCTTAGCCCCACCTTCCCTCTGAAGTCATACATTAAGGGGAATGTGCTGTGTTGAGCAATGCCGCACCACACACGGGCTGCCTACCAGGGGAAGGTTGTTTCCATGCCAGAAGGATTCCAAAGAAATACATTGAGCTTGAGGTTAATTCTGGAGTCAAACTCTTGCCCAGAGAGGGCCCCTGTGGTTTGGAAAGCCCACGAGACCCATCAGAGTAATTTGGCGACTGAGGCTTTGGGTTCACTCTAGGACAGAGGCAAGAACTACTTTGGCTAAACAGTCTTGGGCCAACTAATGCCGTCTTCAAGTCAAAGCCAAAACCTACCTGGTTTCTCAGGAGTCTTTCTGAGAGTTCCCAATAACCCCTGTACTGCCATGAGTGAGGCCGGTAATGTGCTGAGTGTGGAACCCTGAGGCAATGAGAGTGAGATCGGGGAGCAGTTTGAGAGGATATCACACCCCAGTAAGGAAGGTCAGGGCTAGATTTGCCATGTGCCCCAACATTTTCAGGATGGATTTAGCTTTCAGAATACTTATGACAGCATCAGACTTCAGATTACCCCATCCCCACCCCACATCTACATGTGGGTCTGACCTAGCTGATGAGCCTTTTGCCTAAATCTCTCCTTCTCATTCATAATCCCTGTTAAGACCAAAATGATCCCTATCTTAGTTACTTCATAGAGTTTCTGGCAGTACCTTTTTGTTGGGCTGGTTCCAGCTTTATGTATCCTTTATACAGGATAGCTTTGTCCTTTTTTTGCTCTGTTCAGACGTCCTCCAAACGACGGGTGTTTCAACAGTAACCTGGATACATTTTAAATTTAGGAGGCCAAAGTGGGTGGATCACCTGAGGTCAGGAGTTTGAGACCAGCCTGGCCAACATGGTGAAACGCTGTTTCTACTAAAAATACAGAAATTAGACGGGCATGGTGGTGCATGCCTATAATCCCAGCTCCTCAAAAGGCTGAGGCAGGAGAATGGCTTGAACCCGGGAGGCGGAGGTTGCAGTGAGCCAAGATCACGCCACTGCATCCAGCCTGGGCAACAGAGCAAGACTCCATCTCAAAAAAATAAAAAATAAATAAATAAATAAATAAAATTTTTGTGTCAGGCAGAGTTAGTGATTTAGGCAGTGGTTCTGCCTGAGGCTTAATCTGTCCCAACACCTGCTACTCTAAGCTGCTCTCTACTAGATCCATTACCTAACTCAAAGCTTCCAGGGAACCTGATTGCCTGAGAAGCCCTATTTACAATACGTTATTGAAATGTACCTTGACTAAGAGTGCCTGGGGGCTTGGTCCTATATAGGCCTCATATGCACCATGACATCTCAGACACACTGAAATCAGATGACTTCTAAATGAAAAGAAAAAACAGGAATAATGTCATAGGTCCACCTTGACAAATGCTGCTATAAGATAAGCATTCACCTTCTCATTCAATGGGTATAATTCTAAGGGTGACTAAAATTACAAGCACACTTTGGAGTTATTGCAGGTCCATTCCAGACCCCTGCAATAAAACAAATATCACAATAAAGTGAGTCACACCATTTTTTTGGTGTCCCAGTGCATATAAAAGTCGTGTTTAAAATATACTGCAGTCTATTAAGTGTTTAATGGTATTATATCTAAAAAAAATGCGTATCTTAATTAAAAATACTTTATTGCTAAAAAATGCTATCATCTGTACCTTCAGTGAGTGATATTTTTTTTGCTGGTGGAGGGTCTTGCCTCATTGTTGATGGCAGCTGACTTATCAGGGTGATGACTGGTGAAGATTGGGGTGGCTGTAACAATTTCTTTCTTATTTGAAGAGACATAGTCTCTCTCTGTGGCCCAGGCTGGAGTGTAGTGGCATGATTATAGCTCACTGCAGTGTCAAACTCCTGGGCTCAAGGAATCCTCCTGCCTCAGCATCCCAAGTAGCTACAGTACAAACACCACCATGCCTAGCTAATTGTTCTTATTTTTTAATTTTTTTGTAGCACCTGGGTCTCACTATTTTGTCCAGACCAATCTTGAACTCCTGGCCTCAAGTGATCCTCCCCTGCCTTCGCTTCCCAAAGAGCTGGGATTACAGGCATGAGCCAACATGCTCAGCCTCAATTTCTTAAAATAAGGTCACAGTGAAGTTTGCCACATTGATTAACTCTTCCTTTCTTGAACTTTTTCTCTGTAGCATGTGATGCCATTTGATAGTATTTTACCCACAGTAAAATTTCTTTCAGTATTAAAGTCGATCCTTTTAAACCCTCTCACTGCTTTGTCAACTAAGTTTGTGGAATATTCTAAATCCTTTATCGCCATTTCAACAATGCTCACAGCAGCTTCACTAGGAGAAGTTTCCATCACAAGAAACCACTCTCTTTGCTATTTGCTAAGAAGCAACTCCTCATCCATTCAAGTTTTATCAGGAGATCGCAACAATCCAGTCACATTTTTAAGCTCCACTTCTAATTCTAGTTTTCTTGTTATTTCCACCACATCTGCAGTGACTTCCTCTACTAAAGTTTTGAATCCCTCAAAGTCATCCACGAGGGTTGGAATCAGTTTCTTCCAAAATTCTGTTAATGTTGATATTTTGACCTCTTCCCATGAATCACAAATGTCCTTAGTAGCATCTACAATGGTGAATCCTTTCCAGAAGATTTTCAATTAACTTTGCCCAGATCCACAGAGGAATCACTACCTATGGCAGCTATAGCTTTACAAAATGTATTTCTTAAATAATAAGACTTAAAAGTTGAAATGGCTTCTTGATCCATGGGCTATAGAATGGATGTTCTGTTAGCAGGTATAAAAACATTAATGTCCTTGTACATCTCCATTGGAGCTCTTGGGTGACCAGATGCGCTGTCAATGAGCAGTAATATTTTGAAATGATTTTTTTTTTCTCAGCAGTAGCTCTCAACAGTAGGTTTAATATAATCAGTAACCCAAGCTGTAAACAGATGTGCTCTCATCCAAGCTTTGTTGTTCCACTTATAGAGCAAAGACAGAATAAATTTAGCATAATTCTCAAGGGACATAGGGTTTTTGGAAAGGTAAATGAGCATTGGCTTCCACTTGTAAGTCACCAGCTGCATGAGCACCTAAAAAAAAGATTCATCTTGTCCTTTGACGCTTTAAAGCCAAGTGTTGACTTCACCTCTGTAGACATGAAAGTTGGCGGGCGCCTGTAGTCCCAGCTACTCGGGGGGCTGAGACAGGAGAATGGCGTGAACCCAGGAGGCGGAGCTTGCAGTGAGCTGATATTGCGCCACTGCACTTCAGCCTGGGCGACAGAGCAAGACTCTGTCTCAAAAAAAAAAAAGAAAGAAAGAAAGTTCTAGATAGCATTTTCTTCCAATAGAAGTCAGTTTTATCTCCATTGAAAATCTGTTGTTTAGTGTAGCTGCCTTATCAATGATATTAGCTGTATCTTCTGGATCACTCGCTGCGTCTTCTCCATCAGCACTTGCTGCTTCACCTTGCACTGGTATGTTATGGAATAGCTTCTTTCTTTAAACCTCATGACCAACCTCTTCTAGCTGCCAACTTTTCTTCTTTGGTGTCCTCATCTCTCTCAGCCTTCATAGAACTGAAGAGAGTTAGGACCTTGCTCTGGATTAGGCTTTGGCTTCAGGGAATGTTCTGGCTGGTTTTATCTATCCAGACCACTCAGACTTTCTCCATATTGGCAAGAAGTTTCTTTTGCTTTCTTGTCATTTGTGTGTTCACTGGAGTAGCACTTTTAATTTTCTTCAGAAACTTCTCCTTTGCATTCACAACTTGATTAACTGCTTGGCACAGAGGCCTAGCTTTCAGCCTATCTTGGCTTTTGACATTCCTTCCTCACTAAGCTCAATCATTTTTAGTGCTTGATTTAAAGTGACAGACGTGCAAAGTGGCCTTTCACTTGAACACTTAGGGGCTATTGTAGTGCTATTAATTGGCCTAATTTCAATATATTGTATCTCAGGGAATAGGGATGACCAAGAAGAGAGAGAGAGACAAAGAAACATCTGGTTGTTGAAGCAGTCAGGACACACACATTTCTAGATTAAGTTCACATCTTATATGGGAGTAGTTAGTGGTGCCTCAAAATAATTACAATAGTGACATCAAAGATCACTGATCACAGATCACTATAACAGATATGATAATTTAAAAGTTTAAAATATTGCAAGAATTACCGCAACGTGACAAAGAAGTATGAAGTGAGCACATGCTGTTGGAAAAATGGCATCAATAGACTTCCTTGGCTCAGGGTTGCCACAAACCTTCGATTTGTAAAAAATGCAATTATCTGTGAAGTGCAGTAAAGCTAAGCACAATAAAAGAAGGTATGCCTATACTATGCTTTTCTCTACTGGTGGAGATGGTATTTCTTCTTTAAGAAAACGACAAAAGGAATTCTTGATCTCTTTAGGTTTTTAAATTCAGGTTCTAGAAGTTGACGGAGCATGACAAGTACTTCTCTTCTCCTAGACCCACTCCACTGCTTCCAAAAGGTCATCAGAGAAGGAGCAAAGCTGAAACATGCAGAAGAAGTATTGCATTTTTAAAATACTGCCAGATTGTGTGATTGATAGTACATCCAACTCAGTATATTGAAACAGTAAATAAATAGGGCCCATGTGCCCTAAATTAATATAGTTCCCAAGAGTGCTTGGTTTCAAGGACATAGTTTATGCTCTGCAGAATCTCCCTCCATAAAACAATAAAAATTACATGGCAGAAAGCAGTCTCCAAGTCAACAAGCTCTTCCTGAGAGTCCAAGCTTTGCTTTGTGCTGAGGGATGTATATGACAGGTTCCTTCCCTTTAGCGAGCCCACAATATAGTTGAGAAGGCGCAATATAGTTGTGAAGGCAAACTCATACCAAAGAGCAGCATAGCAGAGACTACTAAGCAACAATTAAGGGCTACACTTTTTCTAAGCAAGGGAAGGCTGCGCTCACTAGAGTATACTTTGTGATACTGAAGGGTCATATGTGAATCTTGGAGGCAAGAACGGAGACAGGTGAATAGACAGAAACAGAATGACCCATCTGAGGTGGAGCAAACAAGGTGTGTTCATGGACTGCGAAGAAGCCAGATTGATTAGAATAGGCCATCTGTACTGTGTTAATAATTTCAAGAATACCACTTTCAGATTCTACACAGTAGAGGGAAAAAATATATAGACCTAATGAATTTATATCAATGTTAAAAGGATAGGATTAATTTTTCTTTGGTCTTCCAGAATATATCCACGACAGTTGCTTCAGAAGTTATACTATGGTTTCAAGCCTGAGGGTGGGGTTTTAAAACAAAGAAACACATTCTAGTTCTACCCATTGTTTTATGGTCTTCTTGTCTATATTTAACAGAAAGTTTTTTCGGTGTTGGCCATGTTTACTTAAATCCTTTCCTTTCATTCCAACTATGGCATTTTTAGCCTGAGAATCCAATCTGATACCTTTTCCTGTACAGACCTGGTAAAGAGTCCAGCTGACTGAAAATTCAAAATCAGGATTATGTAGGATTCTGGAAAAGAAATAAATCAAAAGAGAAAAAGGAGGGAAGTTCTATGCAATAAGTTTCATGTCATATTTAGAATAGAACACAGAAACCACTAGTCTATAAAGCTCTGTCTGCCACTAATAAGCATACAATCTTGAGAGGGAAACAATGATAAAACTTATCTATTTCTAATAAGTGATGCATTACAAATGTAAATGTATTTTGAACATAGATATTATCGTATCATGTATTCATTTTTTAATAAATATAGGACTGTATTCACCTGCAAAATGTGTATGTCCAAACTAACTATTTTCTTTTTTTATTAAAATGGCTATTTTCCCCCTTTAAAAGTCTTATGCCTATGAAAATGTTAGGGAAAATTTGAAATTAATGAAAAAAGAATCTGTATGACTTTGGAGCAGCCCGTGGGGAGCTGAGGCCATCTGGCAGTGTAATTCACAACCTTCCTGGGACATGTTCCTCGTGCTGTATACTGCCCACTGAGTTTGTACTTCTCGATAAAGACCATGTGAGAAATTAGCAACATTCTGCTCAAAATGCAAGATCCTCATCCCAAATACCACATTTCACAAAAGTAAATGTAAAATATGTCCCTTATCCTTTGACAAGCTATTCTTCACAGAACTCTAATTTGTGCTGCTTCTCAATTGCTTCCCTGCACGAGTACACCACAGGCTGTGTCTGGAGCTCATAGAGGATGGATGGCCGGCCAGGATGACACTCCCCAAGTGCCACCAGAGAGACAGACATGCGTTCTCCCTTCTCTTCCTGAAAAAGACAGAATAGATCTACATCTAGATGTTTCCCAAAATTCAAAAAGAAAACCCTAAACAGCGAAATGCTTTAATTAGAAATCTCAAAAAATTATGAAAGCAAGCAAAGAGTTCCCCTGTCATACAGGCCTGTGAACCACGTTTGGGACGACAGTCAATGGGAGCTTTCTATCTTTTCTCACACAGGCACTGTAAACCCTAAATTATGTAGTTACAGGAATGGGAGATGAGAAGTTGACATTCTGGAGAAAGTCACTCTCGGGGAAAGTGGAAAGAGCACGGGCTTGCGCCCGACAGACCTGGGTCTAGCATTCATTACCTAGCTGTGCAAGTCACTTAACATAGCTGAGCCTCAAAGTCCACATCTGTAAAACAGGATAATAATTCCACATTTCCAGGTTGTTTTGACAATTGTTAAGTAATATATTTGAAGGAAATAATATTTGCAAAGCCCTGAAAAAGTTATAGCTATCATTGATGTTTTAGCTGCTGGTGATGGTTATATCATTTCCACTTTTATTATTGACCCAACACAGAGAAAGTAGAAGCTACAGGGAAATGATGTGCTACATTTTCTAGACCCCCCATCCTACAAGCTTCAGAACCGGGAATATCCTGTCTTGCCGCAGTAACATCTTTTTTTGCAATTAGTACCAGACTCTTTCCTGGCACAGAGCATATTCTTTTTATGGAAGTGAATGCAATATTACAAAGATGCTTTTAATCAGAAACAGGCCACCTAAGCAAGAAACATCTCTTCAATAGGAAATAAAATGCTACAGCTCCATCATTTTGCCATGAGTCAGGCAACATGCTGGGAAATGCTTTTGCCCACTTTTCACTCCTTGTCTAATCAATTTTTATTCTTTTCATAGTCACATGTAATGGGGTTGGAAATGGCTAAATAAAGTGAAAGATGTTTTGAATTGCATTACTAAGTGATAGCTGCATTATTTCATAAATGAATAGTGCTACTCATATTCATATAATTTATGAATTGAAGCGTCATTTAGGGGAAGACATTGGTGTCAGATTTTGCATTTAAACACCTGCATTAGCTGTCAGCTGTGTAAAATCCCATAAAGACAGACAACTCCACATCAGGCACACAAATGAGGGTATTCAAGGCCCACTTTTACAACTAGACACGAAACTGATCATGGAGAGCTTTCTGTAGTTACCTTCCATCACAGCTTATTGAAAAAATTTTAAACTCTTTTCTGAAAACAGCCCCTTCTACATGATTCATACTAGGTAAGAGTCTTTGGAGCCTTTAAAATTTCTTTTTAATTCTAGCTCTGATGAAATTATCATTTTCATTGTTTACTTTAAAACAGCATTTTAAGTAAAATTTAATAAACTATAAAAGGCAGTGTGGCAGGTAAAAAGTCTGATATTTATATTGCAAATGCTAAACCTGTATTTCTGTACTACCAAAACCTTTCAAATTAGTAGATACTTATTATGATTACTCTGCTATGTAATTGTAGAGGTGGTGGTATTGGTAGTGTGTGTGTGAGTGTCTGTATCTGAGTGTATGTGTGATGCTCCAGACTGCAGGAGAGCTGGAAGAAAAAGTGGGGGAAGGGAAGAGAAGCAGTAGGGCGAAGACTTGTACCCATACAGGGTAGAAATATTAGCTTAGGGCAGGAGCAGTGGCTCACGCCTATAATCCCAGCACTTTGGAAGGCTGAGGAGGGTGGATCACAAAATAAGGAGTTCAAGACCAGCCTGGCCAAGACGGTGAAACCCCATCTCTACTAAAATACAATCAGTCTCGTTTTTTATAAGAAATTGGTCTTATTTTTTATATTATAAATAATGCATACTATGTATGCATTGTACAAATTGCTGAATTACATGAATTCCTGAATGTACACAAAAAGATGCAAAGAAAAAACAATAAAATATCTCACCCATATTTTTGTTTCTCTGGGGTACCTACTGTACCATTTTGCATATTGTTAGTTGTCTTCTAAGATTTTTTTGCATATATATTATGTTCACAAGACTTTTTATAAGTTTGGTATTACCTCTGGAGAACAGTGACAATTGACCACCAGGACATGTCAGGAGATCTATGATCAGATCTCCTGAGAAATGAGTATCATGCAGACAGTACCAAGCCATGAGGGATGTGCCCCGATGATCCAAACACCTCCCACCAGACTCCACCTCTAGCATCGAGGATTACAATTCAATGTGAGATTTGGGTGGGGACAAATATCCAAACTATATTAAATGCTTTTCTTTTCTGGAGAAGGCTGAATCATCTTGATGTCTACAAGCAGTTATCCCTTGTAACTGCCTGCCTATAGGCAATAGTGGTTAGGAGCAATGTCTCCCTTGCAAGTTTAAGTTCTCAAGAGCCTGATGCAGAGATGACCCTGACAAAAATTAGCCAGGTGTGGTGGCTGTAATCCCAGCTACTGGGGAGGCTGAGGCAGAGAATTGCTTGAACCCAGGAGGCGGAGTTTGCAGTGAGCTGAGATCATGCCACTGCACTCCAGTCTGGGCGACAGAGCAAGACTCCGTCTTAAAAAAAAAAAAAAAAGAAATATTAATTTTATGAAAGTTGTCAAATAAACCACAACTTAATGAAACAATTAGAGAAGTATAAAATGGACTATATCTGTCTGAGCATGTAGTTGAGTGTGGACACAGTAAGCCTGCATGATGCACAGTCTTTACCTGAAGGAACAAGTCTGGGAGTAGAGAAACTTACTTAGGGGCTATAGGTAAACAAATCAACAAATGCACTCTAGGGTCATAAATGAAGTAATTTTTTTTTTTTTTTTTTGATTCGGAATCTCACTCTGTTGCCTAGGCTGGAGTGTGCGGAGCCATTTCAGCTCTCTGCAACCTCCGGCTCCCAGGTTCAAGTGATTCTTCTGCACCACTTGATTACAAGTGTGTGCCACCATGCCTGGCTAAATTTTTTGTTTTTGTTTTTGTTGTATTTTTTTAGTACAGATGGGGTTTCTCCATGTTGGTCAGGCTGGTCTGAAACTCCTGACCTCCAGTGATCCACCTGCCTTGGCCTCCCAAAGTGCTGGGATTACAGGCATGAGCCACTGTGCCCGGCCAATAAATGAGGTAAATATTTTGATAGAACTGTGTCCAAGGTATCATTGGCAGACAAAAAAAGAAACCCCTAACTTAGCTGGTGGGGGGACAGGCTGTGTCAGAAAAAAAAGGTAGCATTGGCAGTGATGCTTAGAGAATGCATAAGTGATATCCAAGGGTGGATAAGAAGAGCAAGGGTATTTTGAAAAGCGGAAACATCACAGGCTAAAGGAATTCCACCAGGCGTAAGACCACATTAAACCAGAAAGTTATAAATGGTTTATCTGGAGTGTGGAAATACGACAAGAGATAATTATAACAATATACAGGGAAAGGACCTACTGAAACATACAACAACATAAAAAGGTTATCTCAGATGTAGGAACAAATCTAAGTAAAGCAAAATAATTGGTTAAGTGGTGCAGCTAGAATATTAGCATATGAAGAGGTTAAATGATGAAAAGGAATCATAACTAACACATAGAAAATAAGTCAGAAACCTGAATACAGACATAGGTTAACATGTAAAAGTAGCCAGGTGTAGATGACCTGGAAATGGTGGAATGATGGTGAGCGAGAGAGCAGGCCCCACATTTAAGTTGGTAGCACTACTGGGTCCAAGCCGATGGTTGCTTGAATGCAACCCCAAGATTACCTAATCTCTTGATTTATAAAAAAAGAAAAGCAAGATGGTCAGCCATGGTGGTTCACGCCTGTAATCCCAGCACTTTGGGAGGCCAAGGCGGGGAAGATTGCTTGAATTCAGGAGTTTGAGACAAACCTAGGCAACATGGCAAAACCCAGTCCCTACAAAAAGTACAAAAATTAGCCAGGCATGGTAGCACATGCCTGCATTCCCAGCTACTCAGGAAGCTGAAGTGGGAAGATCACTTGAGCCCAGTGAGGTGGAGGATGCAGTGAGCTGTGATGGCACTATTGCATTTCAGCCTGACACAGTAAAACTCTGTCTCAAACACACACACACGCACACCAAAAAAAAAAGAAGAAAGAAAAGCAATTCACGGCTGAGTGTGGTGACTCACGCTTGTAATCCCAGCACTTTAGGGGGCTGAGGTGGGTGGATCACCTGAGTTCAGGAGTTCGAGACCAGCCTGGCCAACATGGTGAAACTCTGTCTTTACTAAAAATACAAAAATTAGCCAGGCGTGGCACGAGTCTGTAATCCCAGCTACTCAGGAAGCTGAGGCAGGAGAATCACTTGAACCCGGGAGGCATAGGTTGCAGTGAGCCGAGATCGCACCATTGCACTCCAGCCTGAGTGAAAGAGTGAGACTCCATCTCAAAAAAATAAATAAATAAATAAAAATAAATTTTAAAAAAAATTTAAAAAGAAAAGCATTTCACAACATTAAGTGTATTTTTCCAATTGTTAAATGTTGGCAAAAGATTTTAAAATGGTTTTTAAAAGTTTAGCCCTAAAGGAAGATAACTGTGAGCAGGTCTGGTTCATGGTTTTCTATTTGATGTCTTCTGATCTCATTCAATACTGTACATACAGGAGAATCCTACTGGACATTTTATGATAGACTAAGACTTTTAGTCATATGAGATGTGATTTGGGGTAGAAGATGAAATGATTAAAACACAAAATTCTGTACTTAACTCAGGCATTTGTACAGTGAAATGTACTGTGGCCTTAACAGGATGTTAGCAACTAAGTCCAGAAATATTTGGGAAAGAAATAAAAAAATTAGGCAAACTAAGATTACTTTTAGCAGGGAGACTGCTTGATTACATTATACCATCTTTAGAATTATAAATTATATACCTGTTCACAATGGTCAGTTAAATGCATTTTTTTGCAGCCAAAGAAATAAAATGCTATTTCATTAATTTTCATTGTCAAGTTGATATTTTCCTTTCAGTTGCTGTATTAGGCCATTCTTACACTGCTATAAAGAAATGAGACTGGGTAACTGAAAAGGAAAGAGGTCTAATTGGCTCACAGTTCTGCAGGTTGCACAGGAAGCATAGTGCCAGCAGCTGCTTCTGGGGAGGCCTCAGGAAGCTTTTACTCATGGTAGAAGGTAAAGCAGGAGCAGGTACGTCACATGGCCAGAGCAGGAACAAGAGAAACAGAGAGTGGGGTAAGGGGGTGCGCCACACTTTTAAGTGATCAGATCTTCTGAGAAATGACTATCATGAAGGCATTGCCAAGCCACGAGGGATGTGTCCCCATGATCCAAACACCTCCCACCAGGCCCCACCTCTAGCATTGAGGATTACAATTCAATGTGAGATTTGGGTGGGGACAAATATCCAAACTATACTAAATGCTTTTCTTTTCTGGAGAAGACTGAATCATTTTGATGTCTACAAGCAGTTATCCCTTGTAACTGCCCGTCTATAGGCAATAGTGGTTAGGAGCAATGTCTCCCTTGCAAGTTTAAGTTCTCAGGAGCCTGATGCAGAGATGACCCTGACCTCAGTTGAGCTTTTCCAGCAAATAATGATGCAATGGATCACTTTGTCTTTTAAATAACATTCAAAGATCTAAAATTTAGAATAATAGACACGTCCTGGTGGTCAATTGTCACTGTTCTCCAAAGGTAACACCAAATTGATAAAAAGTCTTGTGAACATAATATATATGCAAAAAATTTTAGAAGACAACTGACAATATGCAAAACGGTACAGTAGGTATCTCAGAGAAATAAAAATATAGGTGAGATATTTTATTGTTTTTTTCTTTGCATCTTTTTGTGTACTTTCAGGAATTCATGTAATTCAGCAGCTTGTACAATGCATACATGAGTATGCATTATTTATAATACAAAAAATAAGACAGATGAAAGAAAAAAATGGTTTGTAAAATAAATGTTGGTTTAATGTATGAAAATACAAGTTTTGTGATGGCCACTCTCAGGGATGAAAGTGAGGAAGAAGAAATGCAAATGATCTGCTCTTTTCTATTCTTGAAAGGAGGAGTACAGATAAAAATGTGTGGAAGTCTATTTAAATGCATTTTAATAGGTTATCATTGATATTTCCTTTCAATTCCTCTATATAGTAAGTATCTCTAAAATCTTTAAACATAAAGAATACATTTTTAAGGCCAACAAAGCAAGCTCTAAAGGGAAACTCCAGTTAAGGTTAAACTTAAACAAACACACACAAAATCTGAGAAAAAAATAAATTTGAAGGACATGTATTTTATAACATTATGATAGATATGATAGATTTGTTTTAAACTTGATCTATAGCAACTCTGAGTAGATGTACTGAAATAAAAATCTTAGGTCATCAGAAGAAAGTATTCAAGTCAACATTATGAAATTGCCTTGATGTTCAACAACGGCAGCAGCAACAACAAAAATATGAAAGAATAAATAATCAAACTTATGCTACAGTCAGCAAATCTAAAAAATTAGGAAGTCTAGAAGTAGACAAAATGCTGGTCCCTTTGGACAATATGCATATTTGTTATTAATTCTTAGTGTTCCTTTGAGAAAGTGAATAGTTCAATAAGGCAAGAGAGGGGCTTGGTGAGACATGCAAAGGATTAGGGATAAAACTTGATTTCTTTAGGAACTGAAAATGATGCTTCTGATTCTCCCACCAGCTAAATAGGTCCTTAGTGTCCCTAATGCAGAGATAAATAATGCTAAGTGTGTTACCACTTCAGTGTTCCTGTTCCAATTAATATAATCCTCCAGGGAGAGAATAAGATATCATGCAAAAGCCCCTGGTACTTAAAATTGAACATTAAATTGAGCCAGATCTTCTCAACTGCCTCAACTACGCTTTTGGAAGTATAACATTTGGGACATCAGGGTAACATTAAAGGCAGTTTTGATACTCCAGGGCATAGCACTCCAATCGCTTGGAAGAATTAAGGAAACAATTTAAACAATAGGAAAATCTGGCTCGTTAAGAAAAATACTTGTTAGAGTAACAAACATGATTTGTGTGTATCAGTCAGCAAGTCCTTTGCTCTCTTTTGGCTATGCATATGTAATAAACCGCATCTATCATTTCTCTTCTCCCTGATATTTGTAACATCTCCTTCTATAGAATATTTGCTCACATAATTAGTTGTTCTTCACCCTGTCTTTTAACTCACTAATGGATTTTTAAGAATTTTAATTTAACAGGTTTAAGCATACCATCACACTCAGTTGCAAACTATATGGTGGATTCTCCCAAGTACCATTTATTCGTATTATCTTACCTATTCAGATTCTGGCTATAGGCACAGCCATGCTCCTATATGAATCTCAAAGGTCAGAAAATCCATTTCTCTCATTTTAACTGATTGAGGAATTTAAGACCAAGTGTGGTTCAGTGTTCTTTACAAGATAATTTATTGCTCTGAATATTTACTGCAGAATTCTAGACTAGCCAATAACCATTTCCCCTGGAGATATCTCATTTGCAGTCTGAAGAGAATAGTGTTACTACGTGCAAGCAAAACTGGGAGAAAAAATATTTTATGAAGTAAAATTGTCAAAAACCTTTCTACTAATTAATAAAAAATAACAGTATGCATGAACTTGAAATGTAAAGGACTTGCACTTGAACCAAGAATTTGCACATTTGAAAAATAATAGATGCTGGGAGGTTGCAGCGAAAAGGAAACACTTACACACTGTTGGTGGCAATGTAAATTAGTTCAACCCGTATGAAAAGCAGTATGGTGATTCCTCTAAGAGCTAAAGGCAGAACTACCATTTGCCCCAGCAATCCCTTTACTGGGTATATACCCAGACAAATATAAATTATTCTACCACAAGGACACATTCATGCAAATGTTCATTGCAGCACTATTCACAATAGGAAAGACATGGAATCAGCCTAAATGCCCATCAATCACAGATTAGATAAAGAAAATGTGGTACATATACACCATGGAATAATATGCAGCCATAAAAAAGAACAAGATCATGTATTTTGTGGGAACATGGGTGGAACTGGAGGCTACTATCCTTTAGCAAACTAAGGAAGAGAAAACCAAATACAGCATGTTCTCACATATAAGTGGGAGCTAAATGATAAGAGCTTATGAACACAAAAAAGGAAACACACTGGGGTCTACTTGACGGGGGAAGGTGCGAGGAGGGAGAGGAGCGGAAAAGAAAACTATTGGGTACTGGGCTTAATACCTGGATGATGAAATAATATGTACAGCAAACCCCTATGACACGTGTTTACCTATGTAACAAACCTTCGCATGTACACTTGAATGTGTGTTCAAGGGTTGGGCAATTTACGCGAATGAGTTTAATCAGTTGTAAGATGATAGAGAAGTTGTCGACTATATCAAACTGTAAATATTGTCCCTTTCAAAATTACTTTAATGCTAAAAGATAAAAGAAGCAGCAGCAGCAGCAGCAGTAGCAATAGCAGTTCTGTGAGTTCCAAACCAGTTTCAACCTGAAGTCAACCATTTGTGATATTTTAAATCACACGGAATGGAATGAGTTATCTAATAAGTGACATGCTTTTAATCTATTTTGAAGAGAGGAAAAAAAAAACAAGAGTTAGATTTTCGCTTCCTGTTGTACACAAAAATAATTCAAAATGTTTTAAAGATAAAAGTATTAAAGTCAATAGAGTGCAAGAAGTTTATGCTTTAATGCACTCCCTCTATTCCAAACACATAGGAATAAAATATAGAAATGAAAAAGCAAAAGGGCATAACAAGATCAAAAGCAAAGTAAAACTTTTTTTGAATCAGAAACAGAAAAGAAATTGAAGACACTGAGTGGGTTCCAAAGCCATTGGTCATCTAAGTGTCCAAAAGCAGGCAGAGTAGTTAAGGGTTCAGGTCCTATGAGCAAGAGACACCAAAACTGTTCCAGGTGAGTCAGAAACCACTGTTTCCAGCTACAGACAGGAAAGAAATTTCCTACCACCTACTCCATCCCTTGAAAAGACACTTAACAACAACAACAATAACAGCAACAAACTATTCCCAACTGCTTCCTAAGGTTATTTCTATAGAGCAACTGACTTCAGGAGGTAATGAACACAGAAACAGTGTGGAATAAAATTTTAAATCAAGAGACCTGTAGTCTCTAGATTGCTTATATCCTTCAATATCACTGCAGGGAAGAAACTTTAAACCATAATTATGAGACCTTGTTTTGGACTATGAGTTTGGATGGAAGCAACCTTAGAACTGCCAACCAGACATTGAAACCAAAGAACACAGAATGTCTCGGAACATTTCAAGTAATTAATATCATACAGACTTTGTTTTCTACCCACAATGCAAGCAACTTAGATAGGAAGGAATAGACACATATGTAAACACAAACACACACACAAACATATTAGAACCTTAAAATGATACTCTGACTTCTCTTCAGATGACATAAATTTTTCATCTTTTAAGATGTTCTGCTAAGTAGCTCATGAGATAAAAAGGAAACTATGATAGAAATTATGAAACATTTAGACACAAATAACAATGAAAGTACTACAGAGAAAAAGTGGGATCCAGTTTTCACAATTGCAAGAATGAAAATATGTACACTGAAGTTCATTTATTTGAAAAGGAAAATACTTTAAAACTAAATGACTTTTTAAAAAAGCTAAATGAATTAACCATTTAACACAGCAGCTTAGGAAAAATAAGAAAGTTGAAGCAAGAAAATAATAAAGTTAAGAACAGGTATTAGCGAAATAGAAAACATAGAAACAAAAGCATTAATGAAATAAAAATCTGATTTGCTGAAAAAGCAAATAAAATAGAAAAATACCCAATAAGACTAATTAATAAAATAAAACACTTATGTAATTAGCAATGAAATAAGACACACTTACACATATAAAGCACATTTAAAACCAAATTAAGTTCAGAAACCAATCTGATATATATGCCAAAATCCTAAATAAAATATTATCTAGATGAGCAAACTTGTGTGGAAAATAATACATCATGACCTATTTCTGTTTATTTTGGAAATATAAGAAGTGCTCAATAATAAAAGATATTAAGTATTACACTAATGAACAGATGAGAGGGAAAACCACATGGTCATAATAATAAATGCAGAAAAAAGTGTTTCATAAAATTCAAACAACTATGATTTTTAAAACATTCAGAAAATAAATGCAGATGCTAATTTCACTATTGGATTTTAAATCTTAGCCAATGCAAATATATTTAAAATATTTTGGAATTTAGAAATATATTGGAAATGAAGAAACAAAATTATATGTACTGGCTATCTATGTGATTATTTGGAAATTTCACTAGTAGATTTCACAGAGTGTGCAGGATGCAAAGTCAACATAAAAATTAATAAGATTCCTACACACCAATAATAACCAATTAGAAAATATAATTTAAAATTTCTTGTTCTTTTTTTTTTCTTTTTTTTTTTATACTTTAAGTTTTAGGGTACATGTGCACATTGTGCAGGTTAGTTACATATGTATACATGTGCCATGCTGGTGCGCTGCACCCACTAACTCGTCATCTAGCCTTAGGTATATCTCCCAATGCTATCCCTCCCCATGAAGGGGAATTTCTTGTCCTTTATAGATAACAAAAGCAACTCCAAAATCATCATGCAGCCAGGAATAAACTTAAGAAAAGAAAACCTTAAGAATTTAAAGGAATAATATTTTGTTAAAAGCACTTAGAAGCAGGCTTGAATAAATAGAGATATATTCATGGATGGAAAGGCTTAAAATTGCAAATATGTAAATTCTCTCCTTGATTTTTAATTTTATAAACACAGGTTTTATTTGAATTTTATGAGAACCATGTGAAGCCTTATTTTTTTTAGTAATCTTAGCCTGGAAGTCTGTGTTAGCCAGTTTCATCAGAACGTCTTATTATTTATTTCCCTAGTCCCTATCAGATGTATTTGCGTCATCTGGTTCTCAATTGTGGCTGCCCATTCACAATTTTAATTCTGTTATCTGTGCCACCTGACCTTGGGATTTTTCGGTTCTGACTCCTAGTAACTGGGCTTGGCAACTACTGAACTACTGAACTCTCTTCTTACCTCCTACCCTAGATCTTTTCTCAATAGTTTCTCTGGAACTGTTCCCTGAAACACTGCTAGTATGTAGTTGCATAATCCCATTGCACAAACCAGTCTTTGGCCATACCCACTGAATGACTTCTTATTTAGTTTTCCACCAAAAGCCTTAGGAAAAATTTTTTTAATGCATAAATGCTTCATTTCTGCTAATATATGTCTCATAATGGGTGTGCCACTATCCCTGATGTTGTACCACTGGAAATGGGATTTTCAGACCCAAACAATGACTCACTGAGGTGCCATTTCTAGAAATCTAGTCATTTGTACCTAGGAAATTGGCCAATCTCAGGAAGTAATAAATAGTTTACCAAAAGGGAAGTTAAAGCTTCAAGTGAATTGAAGTCTTGTGAGATTTTAATGAATCAAAGCCATTTAAAAAAAATAATAACCTTAGGTAACTTTTAACGCATGAAGTTCTGATTCTTTCAGAACTAAAAAGCAACGAAACGACACAACTATTTTGAAAACTTTTTTTATTAGAAGAAACCTAGATAATGACTGCATTTTATGAGGTTGATTTAAAAATACATTGTACATACGAAGGTGTAAATTTAACTGTCAAACACTTTATTTAAAAATTAAGCAGGTCAAATAATTTGTTCCCTTTGACTTATTTTTTGGCACTACTTTATTGGATGTGAATAAAAATCAAATATTGAATAGCACCCTTCTCAAAAGAACTATTTAAAAATAATCTTAGACATAATATTCCATGATTGTAAGTCCAAGGAAAATAACAAAGATTCAGTCCCATAATCCAGATATTGGAGATTTAAAATTGTTATTTGTTCATGTTAAAAAAAGAAGAGATGTTAAAAAGAAAGCAGATTTTTTGACCTCTTAAAGTGAATAGAGACAGAGGGATGGCTGGGTTCAGCCCACACAGAGTTATAAACTACACCGGTGATTTTCTTTCCTTTTTCCATTTCTTTTCCTAATTCAGCTAGATATACATTCCACAGTGCTCCAGTTTTGCAGAAACAATCTTCTCTGTTTAACTCTGACCTGACCTTGCCTGTTTTGAGTCCCATTACCTACGAAACTTTCAAATGTTTTAGGTATCTGATAAAAATGAAACAAGGATATTTTGTTTTTCAGTGTACAATGCTTCTATTTCTATCACCATGTCAACTCCATGGGCAATCAAACATCTGGAGATAAACTTTATAGCATCCTTCCTATATTTTAAAGATAATTGCCTTGTCCCCTTATAGTTCTGAATTCATTATTCTCAGTTGATTTAGCAAGACCATGTTAATATCAACATCAACAGACATGAGAAACTAAGGAGGGCTAAACTTCTGTCTGTCATGATTGATTATCTAAATTTTTGTGGGTAAAGATGCCCCTGTACACAACAGTCTGAGCACACTAGATCCTGATAACAGTATTATTTACTTATTAGTCTCCATTAATAATTTGTGGAAACTTGTGTGACTATAGCAAGTGTGAGGGTTAATTTTGTGTCAAATTGACTGGGCCATGAGGTGCCCAGATACTTAGTTAAACATTAGTTCTGGCTGTGTCTGTGAGGGTATTTCTGGATGAGATTTACATTTGAATCCCTGGTCTGCAAGACTGCCTTCTCCAACGTGGCTGACCCTTACCCAATTTCTTGAAGGCCTGAATAGAACGAAAAGGATGAGTAAGAAAGAATTGTTTATCTCCATCTGACTATATTTGAGCTGGGACATTGTTCTTCTGCCTTTGAAATTGAACCGGAACTCACACCATTGGACATCCTGGTTCTCAGGTCTTTGGACTCAAACTAGAATTAATACCATTAGCTCTTCTGGATCTCAAGTTTGCCAACTGCTGATCTCCGACTTCTCAGTCTCAATATTCATATAAGCTAATTCATGATAGTAAATGCACCCCCCTCTCTCTCTCTCTACACACTACACAAACACACACACACACAGAGAGAGAGAGAGAGAGAGAGAGATCTGTATCTGTCTATAGCTATCCGTCTATCTATCTATCCCATTGATTCTGTTTCTCTGGAGAACCCAGACTAATACAGCAAGTTTCGCTTATTCAACAAATAATTACTAAGTACCTACCATAAGGTTGGTAGTGCCCTAAGCAGTAGGAGACAGGATTCATAGCTAAATATCTTTATTTATAGTAAAAACCTACCTTATATTCTTACCATGAACTGAAAACAGTATGCCAGCCAACTTCCTTTGTAATCTCTGTTGAAGAAGAAATCACCATTGATTCATTTGATCAACAAGTCTATGTTAAGTATCTATTATTAGGTACTCTTCTAAAAGCTAGAAATATACAAGTGGAAGGCAGGAAACAAACAACCCTGTTTCATAGAGTTTAAAATGTAACCAGAGAGAGAGACAACAAATAAAAATAATAAAATACATAGTTGTTGGGAAACAATTTTCCACGGGTCTCTCACATTTCTGCATATCTTGTTATCAGAGGCACTGACTGCATTTGCTCTGAACTATTCTCCTAAAAATACTTATCTAGAGAAGAACATCAGAAAATATAGTGTCATGTTCAGAGGAAGGTCAGGGTTGCTTACAGCCAAGGAAGACAGTGATAGGCTATCACTATATCACTATATATAACTGTGTCACTATATCACTATATGTAACTATGTCACTACATCACTATAGTGATCATGATAGGCTGTAGGGCTGAGTGAGATGGGAAGTCACAAGAAGGCTTTCAGGAAAGAAGTGACATAATTTGATTTGCACCTTATTAGATTCACTTTGGTTTCTATGTTGAAAATAGCTCAAAGGAGACCTTGGCAGAAGAAAAGAAGTCATGAGATTGAAAGGTGAAGCAGGAAAGGAGTATATAGCTAGAAATGGAGTGTTTTCCTGAGTTAAAAGGAGACAAAAGAGCAGAGTTCTTTAGATAAAGGCATTCTCCTTTTCATATTTAAAACCCTAACTAGTATGCTAATTTTCTCAG
Organism: Homo sapiens; assembly: GCF_000001405.40. NCBI lineage: Eukaryota > Metazoa > Chordata > Mammalia > Primates > Hominidae > Homo > Homo sapiens. The sequence goes on along the minus strand of NC_000005.10, from coordinate 83,824,442 downwards.
TAGCATTCTTCTTTAATTCATTGAACTATAATTGTATAAGCCTAATTAGTGCTAAGAATCCATTAGGCAATAAAAAAATTTCCTCTCTAGTTAAAGAGTTGCACATGTCTTACATGTGAAATTAAGAAAAAATTTATTTTGATTATACCAAGTTAGAATCAATTAATTGATTACTTGCAACAGTCATTGAGAATTTTAATGTTTTCTGGTGCATTAAGAAGCAAATAAAATTTAGACTGAAGTTTTTTTTTCTGGTAAGATATGTCAATACATAAGCCCTTCTACTCAGAGGAAGGCTTTATCTATCACTCCAAAGTGAAAGTCATGGCTAGGAAGAAGATAGTCATGGGTATCCAAAACATCCTTTTCTAGGAATCTTTTCATTCTAAGCCAGTCATCTCAATAGTGTAGAGATGAAATCTTCCAAATCTTGCAAAGAATTCTAGCTGATTCATTGACAGGATTAACCTTTTATATCCTCTTATAATACACCTCAAATGAAGATGAAAGGAGGAAAGTAAGAGGCCTGTCATGGTAAGAAAGCAATGAAAATCCTAGATAAAATTACAGGGAAAAAAAAGAAAACTATTTGTGTAGACTTCATCATCATCTATCTCTTTTTAAAGCCTTGGTAAAGATCTGGTAGCATCATTCTGGCCCACTCATCTAGAGAGCATTCGTGGTTAAAATACCCCCAATGAAAATATTCTATTCCCAAATAAGCAAGGCATGAGGAGGACAGAGAGAGAAAACACCAGCCTGACTCAAGTTAATGGTGAATATTAGGAAATGGTGAGAAAATAGGTAGAGAGGGAGGGTGGGACCTTTTGATGGAGAACTTTAAAAGCCAAAGACAAAGCGGTTAGACTTGAGGCAACAGGCAACTGAAGTGTCTTCATGAGCGAAAGCTTATGTATGTCTATATACCAACTAGTTTATCATCAATGGGAAAAAAATTGAACTTCAGTCAAACATTGGTTTCTTAAGTTCTATATGATGATAAATGATGAGTGAAACTTGTTCTTTCATCTAGCTAATTTTCTAAGTTGGTTTACAGGTTTCATTCCAGTTGGTTTTCGGTTGCTTTGAGGTTTGGTTTCGGGCAATGTTTTGAGGGCTGCGTACATGTACTTTTTTGTTGATTTGTTCAATTGTAGAAATAATGTGCATTTTAAGCCTGCTTTATAGATGAGAATCCTGAAGATCAAAGAAATAAAAGGAGCTATTAATAAGGCTTGATAACAAAAAAGAAAAAATATTTCATTCTCAACAGACAATGACATGAATTTTTGAAAAACGAATTTTTGAGAAAGCCTGGGTACTGTGTATTTTAACTCTTCATCTATTCATCATTGTAATTATAGTTAGAATTCTGTGCTGGAAGATACAGCAATGGACATGGAAAATACAGAGATGTCTAAGATACAATCTCTGAAGAAAAAAATTGACATGCCAAGAAAGGGTGTATTCTGTGGTAAACTCACTGTTTATAATGCTATAATCAAGGTTTGAACAAAGAACCTTGGGGAACAGAACAAATAATAAACTCTGCTATGGCAGTTGGGAAGGGGCTATCAAATGGCATAGTTAAAAGTGAGCGGGATTTATTCAAAAAGAGAGAAGGAATAGGCAAGAGCAAGACCTTCAGAAGACAATTTCCTCTATGGATCCCCTGTCTCTGAATATGCAATGAAAGTGTGAACACTTTAATATATTCCCCAGGACAGCCACTTCACATAGTCTTCTTGAAATCTATGATAGAGGGTTTGTTAATTCATATAATGGGTATAAAAATAATCTTCATCCATGAAATGAGTGCTATTTAAGATATGTAATGGGTTAGAAAGTTTTCACAGCCCCACTTCTCTGGTGTAATGGAAGAGTAAGAATACATGGCTGATCTGGCAGTGTATGTATCCCTCCACTGCACAGAGGTTCAATCTCCAAATTCGACTACAAGCTTGCTTCAGAGCATCCTTGCATATATGAAATTTAAATCCAGATGAACTAATTTATGATGGAAACCAAACACTTGTTGGAAGTGGCAGGGGCAGGGGATGATTGGGAAGGAGAACCAGGTTATTTTCTGAAGAGGAGGAAATGTTCTACGTCTTATTTTGAACATGGTTACATGGGTATATGAATTTAATAAAACTCAACAAACTAATGTTTATGATTGTATTGCAATTATATCTCAATAAAAAGTAAGAAAGAAAAGCATTGCATCTAGTTCACATTAAACTGTGCATGCATGTACTAGTCTGGAGCTTTAAGGGTATATGTGGTGTTTCACCCAAGCTACAAGAACAGAACTTGTACAGAATCCATGCTTGCTTTTGACACCTCACTAATAAATGTTTCCACCTTTGGCATAATTTGGTCTCAGATGTTCTTTTCTTGTAACAAACAATCTAGCTGTTAGTTCATAGGAATAGTAGCCCAACATCAGGACTTAGCTCTGAAATTTGCTAAAAAAAAATCCTAACATTAGCTAAGCAGATAAATGGGCTTAGGTAATTTGCAACCATAAATAATAGTGATTTCCAATGTGAAAATTTGAATTCAAGCTAGAAAGGGAGGGCGGTGTACTGATGAAGGTGGGCTTTAGGGGAGATTTGTCTTTTTGCAACCTGTTTATTTGCTAGTCTGCCAACTTTATAGTAGTGCTGAGCTCTCTCTGGAAGAAGTACCATGGATCACAGAATCTTCTATCCCCACAAGACCTTACAGAGTGTCTTACACTGACTATTTTAATACATGCAAAGAAGGAGGAGGGGAATAACATAGAAATCTTTTAAGTATGTGTTTTTGAATTAATCAAACCTGAAAGTTGTAAACCCAAAGGAGGAACAAAGAAAAAGCAAGAGGCTCTTATGAAAATTATTGATACTTTAGGCTCTTATGAAAATTATTGATACTTTAGGATACAGCTAAAGCAGTGTTAAGAGGACAGTTTACAGATAGAAAGATTTCAAATTAAGAATCTAGCCAGGTGCAGTAGCTCACGCCTATAATTCCAGCTCTTTGGGAGGCCAAGGCAGATGGATCATGAGGTGAAGAGATCGAGACCATCCTGGTCAACATGGTGAAACCCCGTCTCTACTAAAAACACAAAAATTAGCCAGGCATGGTGGCATGCACCTGTAATCCCAGCTACTCAGGAGGCTGAGGCAGAAGAATTGCTCAAACCTGGGAGGTAGAGGTGGCAGTGAACCAAGATCGTGCCACTGCACCCCAGCCTGGGCAACAAGAGTGAAACTCTGCCTCAAAAAAAAAAAAAAGAAAAGAAACAAAAAAAATCTAACATTGCATCTAGAGAAACTAAGAAAACAAGAACAAATCAGCCTCAAAGTTAACAGAATAAAAAAATAACTAAAATCAGACAAAAATCTAATGAAATAGAGATGCAAAAAATTCCTACAAAAGATCAACGAAACAAAAAGTTCTTCTTTGAAACAATAAACAAGATTGATAGACTACTAGCTACATTGAAAATGAAAAAAAGAGAAAATTCAAATAAACACAGTCATAAATGATGAAGATGACATTACAACTGATCCAACAGAAATCCAAAAGATCCTCAGAGACTTCAGAGACTATTGTGAAAATCTCCATGCACACAAATTAGAAACTCTAGAGGAAATGGATAAATTTCTAGAAACACACAACCTCCCAAGATCGAACCAGGAAGAAAGTAAATACCTGAACAGACCAACAACGTTTTTATTAATTCAGTAATAAAAAACCCTATCAATCAAAAAATGTTCTGTACCAGGTGGATTCACAGCCTAATTCTACCTAGGAATACATCTAACCAAGGGATGAAAGATCTCTATAAGGAGAACTATAAAACACTGCTGAAAGAAATCAGAGACAACACAAATAAATGAAAAAAGATTCCATGCTCATGGATTGGAAAGATCCATATTTTTAAAATGGCCATATCGTCCAAAGTGATTTATAGATTCAATGCTATTCTCATCAAACTACCAATGACATTCTTCACAGAATTAAAAAAAGGCTATGCTAAAATTCATATGGAATGACAAAATAGTCCAAAATAGCCAAAGAAATCTTAAACAAAAAGAACAAAGCCAGAGGCATCAATTACCTGACTTCAAACTATACTACAAGGCTACAGTAACCAAAACAGCATGGTACCAGTACAAAAACACATAGGCCAGTGGAACAGAATAGAGAACTGAGAAATAAAGCTGCACATTTATACATTCCAATATTCAACAAAAATAAGCAATGGGGAAAATACTCTATTCAATAAACGGTGCTGGGATTACTGGCTATCTATAAGTGGAAGACTGAAACTAGACCCTAATATACAAAAATTAACTCAAGATTGATTAAGGAATGTAAGACCTCAAACTATAAAAATTCCTAGAAGAAACCCAAGTAAATGTTCTTCTCTATATCAGCCTTGGCAAAGAATTTATGACGAAGTCCACAAAAGCAATTGCAACAAAACAAAAATTGGTAAGTCAGACCTAATTAAACAAAAGAGCTTCTGTACAGGAACAGAAACTATCAAGGAAGTAAACAGACAGCCCACAGAATGAGAGAAAATGTTCACAAACTACACATCTGACCAAGGTCTAATATCCAGAATCTGTAAAGAACTTAATCAAATCAATAAGCAAAAAACAAATAACCCCATTAAAAAGTAGGCAAAGGACATGAACAGACACTTCCCAAAAGAAGACATACAAGTGGCCAATAAACACATGAAAAAGCATTTATCCTTAGTAATCATCAGAGAAATGCACATCAAAACTACAATGTGATGCCATCTCACACCAGTGAGAATGGCTTTTGTTAAAAAGTCAAAAAAAATAACAGATGTTGGTGAGGCTGTGGGGGAAAGGGGACACTTATGCACTGTTCATGGAAATGTGCATTAGTCCAGCCATCGTGGAGAGCAATTCGGAGATTTTTCAAAGAACTAAGAGTTGAACTACCATTTGGCCCAGCCGGTCCCATTACTATGTATATATCCAAAAGAACATAAACTGTTCTACCTAAAGGACACATTCACCTGTATGCTCATCACGGCACTATTCACAATGGCAAAAACATGACATCAACCCAGTTGCCCATCAAGGGATAATTGGATAAAGGAAATGTAATACATATACACCATGTAGTATTAAGCAGCCATTAAAAAGAACTAAATCTTATCCTTTGCAGCAGCATGGAGTCAGCTAAAGGCTATTTTCCTAAGTGAACTAACACAGAAACAGAAATCCAATACTGCATGTTTTCATTTATAAGTGGGAGCTAAATGTTGAGTACACATGTACATAAAGATGGGAACATTGGAGACTCCTAGAAGGGAGAGAGAGGGATGGGGGCAAAGGCTAAAAATCTACCTACTGGGTATGATCAATACCAGGGTGATAGGTTCAGTTATACCCCAAACCTCAGCATCACACAATATACCTCTGTGATAATCCTGCAAGTACCCCCTGTTTCTAAAATGAAAGCTGAAAAACAAAACAGAGTAAAAATCAACATTAAGAAATGGACAAATACTATACCATAGAAGCATTGGAAATTCCATTGTTATCATATTCCCTTATCTCCTCAATACCTTCTTCTTCCTCATAATTCTTGCCCTATAAAGACAATGAGTTTGATTTCAAAACTACTGCTTTGAAAGAAGGCCAATAAGAAAGCACATCATATATGAGAAACATTCAAGCAAATAAGTCAGTCTTGGTTTTGTTAAATCTCTTAAAATGTTTTAAACTGTTTCCAAAAGTAATATAACCTAGGACTTAAAATCAATATCTGCATTATATTTTCAATTTTGTATACATATTTTGAAATTTGGTGGTATATGCTTTATTTCTCCAGAAATAAAATGAAACTGTTTAACCCTGATTGAGCAATTTTTATAGTGAACCTGATATTTCTGAGGTTATATTTCTCTACAAATAAAGTTTAACCTTGATTGAGCGATTTTTGTAGTGAACCTGATATTTCTGAGGTTCTATATTTCAACCTCCTTATTGACTAAGTGGGAAAAAATGAACACACGATCGTACTGTGAATGTTGTATCATGAATCAAAAGAAAGCAACCTTAGACAACTAGTTTTCTCTATAGAATAGAAAAGAGGATAAAGAAACACATTTTTGTCACATTCATTTCTAAAATGTCAATGCACAGTGAACTTTGATCATAAAGCCAAGGAGATAGGGATTAAGAATAATTTTTTTGCCCTTTTAACACACCAGCTATGTTAGATATGATTTTACCTTTATACTTCCAGATGCATCACATTTATGCCCTGCCCAGATTGGCTTATAGACCGAACACCTAAATTTTTTTGAAAATGCGTAAGATCCTGGTATGTTCATAGAACACTAAGCACACAACATACCTAATACAATCTTTGCTTTTGTACAATCTGTTCTGACCACTATACCATGTACCTCAGGGACTTTGCTTACATATTCTAGAATGTTATTTAACCTAAAGATAAATAAAACTCTCTAAAAGAGAGTACAGAGGCTGCATTCTGAGGCTCAGGTCTTACTTTGTTCTTGGGTGCAACTCAACCCACAGAAAGATTATTCACACCCACTCATAGGTTCAGCTGCAGTCCCACCGCCAGCTATGTGCACACCCAAAATGGCCCCTTTGTGAAGCAGGAGATGCTGGAAAAGAGGAACACTATGTTCAGTCATTCTGCAACTGCTGAGTAAAAAGTTGACCTTTGGTCCAAGTTTAAGAATGTTACTGCCTATTCTATAGGGTTGTGAAAACCAGAGCAAATTAAATGTCATTAAAAGAAAGTCATGTTTTAGAGCTTGGAATTCTTTATTTAAATTTTTGGGACTTCCTTGTAATGAAATTATTAACTTGATATTCCAACCTATGTTTGCAGAAGCATTTTGTTGTCAATTTACAGTATGTCATTGATGGATAAATGGCCTAATAATCCTGCACAGACTGTATGGGAATGTTAATGCAGAGTTGAAATAAAACAAAAAGTACATTTATGTGTTATATTAGGAGCCAATTTTACATGTAAAGGATAAAAAAAGTACTTTTACTGCAAAACCTGATATAAATGGCACTCACTGTAGAATAAAATTACTGGATACCACTTAATTCCCAATCAGGAATGCCAGAATGCATCAGCTGACAAGCATGCAAAACAACAATGGACAAAATGTGTTACATCAGAGTTTTTCAACCAGGGCATTTACCGACATTTAAGGATGGATAATTTTTTTGTTTTGTGGAGCTGTTTTGTGCGTTGTAGTACATTTAGTAGCATCTCTAGCCTCTACCCTCAAGAAGCCAATAGCACTAATATACACTGAAATTGTGACAACCAAAAATACCTCTAGACATTGTCCCCTGCAGGGAGTCAGGGAGGTCAAAATTACCCCCTGTTGAGAATCATTGTTTGATATCAAAAGCATTCCATAAATCTTGCAACATATGGTTCTAGTCATTTAACTGTAAAAATGTATGAGCAATACAAATAATAACACAAAACAATGTTACAACCACAAGTAACTCTTCCGCTTGAGAATGTTATCCTTGGTCAATAGGCAATACATGATCTAGTAAATGGAGTCATATTTATCTGGATGGATTTTTATTTTTATGTAGCTCTATTGTCCATTTTTTCTGTATTAATAAAAGATCTGAGCTCTTATAAAATACACATTTTCTCAACTTTTTACTTAATTTATGGGGCAAATGAAATGTGATCACATTTTCAGTCTCATTCAGTTCTCTGAAGCCATCAATAAAACTGAATTTGGAAAATATAACTGTCATGGTTTTATACAAAAGTAACCTTATAAAATTTTGCCTACCTAGAACAAAAGATAAGTAATCAATACACCATGCTGCATACAAGCTCTTCTCCTGTATATTTTGAGTTTAATTTCCAACCTTACAATTTGCCTGTTTTTGCTGTTGTCATCTAATTTCTAGGCTTGTAACCAATGTCTTTTAAGACCCAGAAGTTCCCTCTACACTCTCCCCTTCCTTTGCACATAAGGAACCAGTGCAATTCCAAGAAAAGTAAAGCATAGTGTTGGGGCAGGGGAGGGGGGAGAAAAAGGGAGTTTACAAAAAGAAATATATAAAAATGAGAATATTAAGATATCTGCTTCTTTTCCTGAGTAGAAAATGTGTTGTGACAGCAGGAGTTTGTCTCAGCACAGCCTTGTTGAGAAGAGGAGAGTTCCCACTCCACCTGCTCAATGGCACCAACCAGAGACTGGCTAAAGTCCCAAGTCTTTGAGAGCTCTTAGAATATAATGTCACAAGAGAGGTCAGTAGGTTGTAGGCATTTTCTCACTGAGAAGTCCAATAAGAATATTTTCATGAATGTTTCTTATTATTTTCTTGTATAGGAGAATTCAGGCACTGTCCAAACATTAATGAAGTATTCATCACACTGAGCCTGCTGCTTTCCTTAGTGGAAAAAGGAAAAGCCCGGTTGTCCTTGTTTACCCCTTCCTGGATGAACAGTAGAAAAAGAAAGACTCGTTTCAATCTGCATTCAGGAGATAGGAGGCCTGAGGGCACAGAATATACAATCTCCTATATTCATAAACTTCTCAACCTACAGATTTTACAAGCAGAACAAAAATTGTTTCTATTCTGCATACAAAGAACAGGACTTTGCAGTTGTGTGCAGTCATTTCAATATTTTCTCTCAGGGTAATTGCCAGTCTACAATGTGTTTGCTGTTGTCATGCTTTATCAACATAAATCCTATCATTTCTGATTTATGAAAATTCAGTGGGAATATTATAAGTGTTGGCAAGAAGAGGTATATATTTTCTTGAAAATAAAAGTAAAGATAACAAAATAATTGAAAGCCATGAAAATGGTGAAGATTGGGTAGTGAATGAGTTATTTATAATCAGGAGCAATTCTATAAAACAAAGAATATTCACAAACAACATGAAAAAGGTATTATGTCTAAGTAATTTTTTATACTAGTTTTGCTATAAACATTTCCAACTGCCTGTAGGGTTTTTTTGACCTAGAAGCTTGAATACAATTTTAGTTTGGGTGAAGAAAGTCATGTTGTGTTTCTTTGTCTTATTTTGTTTTGTTTTGTTTTACTTTGATGGTCTAGTATCGATTAGGGTTTGAGGAGTGGCAGAAGAGATATGATTGATGGTAATCAATTATTAGCTTGATCTTTGAATTTGCAGAAATAGTATGCCTACTCCACTGGCCATAAAATATCAGAATGTCCAAATCATTCACGAAAAAAAAAAAAACCAGCTATTAAAGGGAGTAGTTTTCAAAACTTTATTTACCCTGCTGTGTTGTCTTAACTTTTCTGGCCTCAATTTCTGTGTACAGATCTAAGTACACAGCTTACATTCAGATGACCATGTGCTCACTCACACTTCATCACCATATTCAGTATTCTGTGGTTTCTTCTTTGGAAATATTAGCTAAAAACAAATTCAGTATAGGCAGACCTGTCTTGTGCTTGGCTTTATTACACCTGGCAGCTATTACATTTTTTTAAATGATACATAATAACTATTGTATGTATTGGGTACACAGGACATTTTGGTAGCTGCATAAAATGTGTAATGATTCAATCAGAGTAACTGAGATATCCATCATCTTAAATATTTGTCTTTTCTTTGTACTAGAAATATTTGAATTAATCTCTTTTAGCTATTTTGAAATATACATGATTGTTAAATATAGTCAGCCTACTGTGCTACTGAACACTAGATTTTATTTCTTCTATCTAACTGTACTTTTGTGGCCATTAACCAACTTCTTTTCATCTCCCTACACTTCCCGGACTCTAGTTACCATCATTATACTCTCTACCTGCTAAGATCAATTTTTTAACTACCACAAATGAGTGAAACCATGCAATATTTGTCTTTCTGGGTCTAGCTTATTTCACTTAACATAATGTCCTCTGGACTTATTTGTGTTGCTGCAAATGACAATATTCCATTCTGTTTTATGGCTGAATAATATTTTCATATATATATATATGTATATCCATTGATGTACACTCAGGTTGATTCCATATCTTGGCTATTGTGATTAGTGCTGCAATTAAACACAAAAGTGAGGATACCTCTTCCACATGCTGATTTCATTTTTTACAAGTTGAAGGTTTGTGGCAACCCTGCATTGAGCAAGTCTATCTGTGCCATTTTCCCAATAGCATGTGTTCACTTTGTGTTTCCACATCACATTTTGGTAATTCTCACAATATTTCAAACCTATTAATTATTATCATGTCTGTTAGGATGATCAGTGATCTTGGATGTTACTGTTGTAATTGTTTTGGGGTGCCACAAACAGTGCCCATATAAGATGGCAAATTTAATTGATAAATATTGTGTGTATTCTGACAGTTCCACTGACTGGCCATTTCCCCGTCTTTCTCCTTCCCCTTGGGCTGCCTTACTCTCTGAGACACAACAATATTGAAATTAAGCCAATTAACAAACCTGCAATAGATTCTAAGTGTTCAAGTGAAAGGAAGAGCTGCACATCTCTCACTTTAAATCAAAAGCTACAAATGATTAAGCTTAGTGAGGAAGGCATGTTGAATACCAGGTTAGCTAATCCTCTTGCTCCGGTTGGACAAGTTGTGAATGAAAGGGTACGTTCTAGATGAAAATTAAAAAATTAAAAATGCTACTCCAGAGCTAGGCATGGTAGTTTACTCTTGTAATCCCAGCACTTTGGAAGGCCAAGGAGGGGCAATCGCTTGAGACCAGGAATTTGAATGGTCTGGATAGAAGATCAAACCAGCCAAAACATCCCCTTAAGCCAAAACCAAATTCAGAACAAGGTCTTAACTGTCTCCAGTTCTATGAAGCCTGAAAGAGGTGAGGAAGCTTCAGAAGAAAAGTTGAAAGCTAGCAGAGGTTGGTTCATGAGATTTAAAGAAAGAGGCCATCTCTGTAACTTTATGTGCAAGGTGAAGTCACAAGTACTGATGTAGAAGCTACATCAAGTTATCTTGAAGATCTAGCTAAGATAATTGATGAATGTGGCTACACTAAACAACAGATTTTCAGTGGAAACAAAACAGTCTTCTATCAGAAGAAGATCCCATCTAAGACTTTCATAGTTACAGAGAAGAAATCAATACCTGTCCTTCGAAGTTTCAAAAGATAGGCTGACTCTTGTTACAGAATAATGCAGCTGGTGACTTATAAGATACAGCCAATGCTCATTGCCATTTCCAAAATCCTAGGAGCCTTAAGAATCATGCTGAATCTATTATGCCTGTCCTCTATAAATTAAAAAAACACACATAACTTCAATAACAGCAAATCTTTTTACAGCATGGTTTAGTAAATATTTTAAGCCAATTATTGAGAGTTACTGCTCCAAAAAAAGAATTATTTTCAAGATATTACTGCTCACTGACAATGCACATAGTCATTCAAAAGCTCTGATGGAGATGTACAAGAAAATTAATGTCTTTAATGCCTGCTAATACAACATTCATTCTGTAGCCCATGGATCAAGAAGTAATCTCAGCTTTCAACTCTCAATGTTTAAGAAATACATTTTGTAAGGCTGTAACTGACTTTCCTAGTGATTCCTCTTTGGATCCATTGAAAACCTTCTGGAAAAGATCCATTGAAAACCTTCTAGAGAAACTTCACCATTCTAGATGTCATTAAGGATATGCTTGATTCATGGGAGGAGGTCAAAATCTCAACCTCAACAGGAATTGGGAAAAAGTTGATTCCAAACTTTGAAGAATTCAAAACTTCAGTGGAGGAAGTCACTGCAGATGTGGTAGAAATAGCAAGAGAACTAGGATTAGAAGTGGAGCCTGAAGACGTGACTGAGTTGCTGCCAATCTCATGATACAACTTGAATGAATGAGGAGTTGCATCTTAGGGATGAGCAAAGAAAGTGCTTGATTGAGATGGAATGTACTCCTGTTGAAGATTCTGTGAACAAGGTTGAAAGGATAACAAAAGATTTAGAATGCTCTATAAACTTAGTTGATAAAGCAGCAGCAGGGCTTGAAAGGACTGACTACAATTTTGAAAAGAATTATATTGTATGTAAAATGCTTATCATGCTACAGAAAAATCTTTCCTGAAAAGAAGAGTCCATCAATGTGACAAACTTCATTGTTGTCTTATGTTAAGAAATTGCCACAGCCACCCCAGCCTTCAGCAACCACCAGCATCAACAGCAAGGAAAGACCGTCCACCAGCAAAAAGACTGTGACTCATCAAGGGCTAAAATGGTCATTAGCATTTAGCAATAAATTATTTTTTAATTAAGTTATGCACATTGTTATTCATAATGTTATTACACATCTAATAAACTACAGTACAGTATAAACATAACTTTTTTTTGCACTAGGAAGCCAAAAAATTTGTGACTAATTTTACTGTGATATTTGCTTTACTGTGGTGGTCTTGAATAGAATCCACAATATCTATGAGGAATGCCTGTATATTTGTAAAATTCTTTCTTGACAGCAAGATCCCCTCTCCTTCACTTAGATAGCCTGTATTCAACTAATTGCCAAATTACGTAGATTTTTACCTCTGAAATATCTTTACAATAGACCCCATCTTGTACTTCAACGATTAATTTCCAGAATTATTTTGCTTCACCTTCAACTGGGCTTCCCCATCTCTGAATACTGCCCACTTCTTTCCTGCCTTCACGTGTCAGTTCTTCATACACACACTTTCAATCATGTGCAAAATCCCTACTAAAATACATGAATGTCTTCCAGCTACCTAATGACTTTAAATAGAAACCCATCCTGCTCATTTTCAAAGGTGCCAACACTGTAACCTCTACTTCAGGCCTCGCACCACTCCAGCTTCATCGCTTAACTCTGTCTGCGGTTTCCCTGTTCACCAGATTGCTAGAACACTTCGATTGCCCGAGCAGGCGTGGTTTTATACCTGATATTCTTCTGCTGGGGAACTTCTTCGTTGCCTATTTTAACCTACCAAAACATTATTTATATTTCTAAATCCATTTCTAATGTCTTGTCTATTTTCCCAATTCCTCCCAAGTGTAGGCGAATGCTTCTTATTTTGTAGTGATCACTCCCTGTGGAGTTTTCTTTGTACCATTTTACGGCATTAACCCCACAAACACCTTGTACCATAGAATGTACCTATGGCTCATGCAATATGGTAGACCATCAGCTCCTTAAATGTAGCAACTGTAATTTATTCATCTTTGTGTATTTTTAGTGCCTGGTACTTAATAGGTACTTCATGAATATTTATAAATTTATAAATGACTCAATACAAATTAGGTTAGGAGCTTGAAGAAACATGCAAGTATTCATTCATTCATTCAATAAATTTTTTGAATATATATATATATATATATATCTCACTTGCCAGAAACTCTTCTATGATACATTTCATTCAGTGCTAAGAATTTTTCCCAGATGGAAGCAATTAATATGTATTTGCCAATAATGAACAGAAAGAAGCCAATTCTACTTTTAGAATAATCAATCTACAACATAGCTTTCACCAACAAATCTGGCAGATATAATTTCTCATAATGTTAAAATATGTAAATGAAATTAAATCTCTCCATGTGTTAATTTAAGCATTATCTCTGCATAAAAATCATGGTATACGGGTATGAGTTTTCACCTTCCAGGATATGCTTGATGCAAAATAAACATATAGCTGTCAGCTCACAGCTTTGTATGATTGGTGTTGGAAAAACTGTAAAATTAGATCTGTTAGCTTTATAACACACTAGATAATGGTAAATTTACACTACAGTAACAGTAGGCATGCAGATGGGAATATATCTTCTTTGTGAAAACCACTATATCATTGCACTTACTATTTTTTGCTGATATTTGTGTGAATGATTGAAACTGAGCTATCAGACATAAAAAAAAATGGTATAGCTGTACTTATGTGCCCAAATACACATATGCCTACATGCAAAATTTTATAAATTACAATTTGTTAGAGATTGACTGCCACATGGAATAGAGACTGGGCTATAAGTTCTAGCTCTAACTATGCCAAACTCGGCTTTATTTACTAGCATCACAGTCCTTCAAATCAACTAGTTATTCTCAATTTAATGAGGTGAAAAATCACATAATTAAAATTAGCTTTGAGGAACTTCTGCTTCTGGCCAACATGGAGTAACAGAGACTAGATTTAACCCCCTGACAGAAACAATCAAATCTAGACAACACATTTGGCACAGTGGATTTTAGGACACTGGACATCAGGCCAAGAAAAACAGTAATCCCTGAGGATGGGAAATAAAGAAAGTGATTCTTAGGATTGCCCAGCTTGTGTCTCAAGAGTTTCCAGATGATGCTATGGGCAGGGAGAAGCAAGGTGGAACTTGAGGTTCCCTGAGTTGAAAAGATGGAAGCTGAGACTCTACAGAGACCAAGAGGGTATATTTATCAGACAGAGGAGTTAATAGAAACCTGCACAGGAAAATAACCCTGGATATCTGAAGAAGGTATCTCTGAAATATTCAGCAGAGTTTATATCAGTGCAAAAATGTGAGGAAATTACCCAAGTCTATGGGACAGAACCATCTGTAAGAATAACAGGGAACAGTTTCTAAAACTCAAAAAGGACAGAGGATTGTCCTGTTCCCACCAGCCAGACTAGAGAACCTCATAATTGGTAAAGACATTCAGGTAGAACACTCAGAATGGTCTTGATTCAGTAGTGAGGAATAATTAGTCCTAGATTAAACATACGTCTGGTCCGAAAAAAAAGATGGAAAGAAAAAAAAAAAGACCAGGTGCCGTGGCTCACGTCTGTAATCCCAGGATTTTGGGAGGCTAAGGCAGGCAGATCTCTTCAGCTCAGGAGTTCAAGACCAGCCTGGACAACATGGCAAAACCCCGCTTATAAAAAAAAAAATACAAAAGTTAGCTGGATGTGGTGGCACATACCTGTAAGTCCTAGTTACTTGCATGGCTGAAGTGGGAGGATCACTTGAACCCAGGAGGTCAAGGCTGCAGTGAGCCATGTTTGCAACACTGCACTCCAGCCTGGGTGACAAAGTGAGCCCCTGTCAAAAAAATAAATAAATAAATAATAAATAAATAAATATATATATATAGTTTACTCCAATAAATCTTAAGAATATATATAGGAATACAAAAATAGCCAGAGCCAACAAGGCAAAATTCACAATGTCTGTCACTTAATCAAAAATTAGCAGGCATGCAAGGAACAAGAAAAATACAAATCATAAAGAAAATAAAAATTAATTGAATCTGACCCAGATATTAGAATTATCAGACAAGTACATTGAAATGATTATTATAACCATATTCCATATGTAGAAAAAGAAGTAAAAACATGGAAGACATAAAAACACACAAATAGAAAACCTACAATATGGGATATAAAATATACACCAAATAGATTAATGGCAAATTAACCACTGCACCCAAGTAACCAAAAGAAAAAAATAATAATAAAGATCAGATAGGAAATAAGCAAATACAAAAATTAAAAAAAAAACAGCAGACAAAAATAAATGAAACTATTGCTGGTTCTTTGAGAGAATCAATAAAACTGAAAAAACTGTAGTCAGGCAGATCGGGAAAAAAGAAGACAAAATTACCAATATCAGAAATTGGAAAAATGACATCACTACAGATTGCACAGATTAGTCAGGTGGAAGATATAAGATTAATATGCTAAAACCAATTTTAGTTTTATATATTAGCAACACGCATTGGATATTATAATTTTAAAATAATAATATCGGCCGGGCGCAGTGGCTCACGCCTGTAATCCCAGCACTTTGGGAGCCCGAGGCGGTTGGATCACGAGGTCAGGAGATCAAGACCATCCTGGCTAACACGGTGAAACCCCGTCTCTACTAAAAATAAAAAAAAATAGCCGGGCTTGGTGGCGGGCACCTGTAGTCCCAGCTACTCGGGAAGATGAAGCAGGAGAATGGCGTGAACCCGAGAGGCGGAGCTTGCGGTGAACCAAGATCGCGGCCACTGCACTCCAGCCTGGACGACAGAGCGAGACCCTGTCTCAAAAAAAAAAAAAAAGTAACAGGCTGCCTCTAACATTCATATGGAAATGCACACAACTTAATATTGCCAAATATAACTTTGAGAAGCAGACCAAAGTGGGAGGGCTAACATTAACTGCTTTCAAGATTTATTGTAAAGCTGCATTAATAAATACAGTGTGGTATTAGTACACAAATAGATCAATGGAATGGAGTAGTTATTGCAGAAATAGACCTGCACATATGGACAACTGATTTTCAACAAAGATGCAAAAATAGAGAATGGATTGTCATTTCAATAAGTAGTGGCTGGAACAACAGAATACCCATATGCAAAAGCATGAACTTTGATACCTAATTTGTATCATAATGAAATTAATGCAAGAGAAATCATAGACCTAAATGTAATAGATAAAGCTACAAAATTTTTAGAAGAAACACGGTGAAAAATCTATATGATCTTGGGTTAGACAATAATTTCTTAAATACCAATCATCTATCAGTGAAAAAGATATCGGTAAAGCAGACTTTACAAAATTAAAAACTTCTGCTCTCCAAATGATATTCTTAAAGAATAAAAAGAAAGTCATAGACAGGAAAAAAAAATTTGCAATGAATTCTGGGCAACAAAGCCCAGAACCTAGGCTTTTTACACTCTACCAAGCTTCCCCTCTCATGAGCCTTGAAATGGCAAGACTGATCATGATTCATCTTAATCGTAGGAAATGCTCTTTGGAGGGAACAGGGAATCTAAAGTATATGTGGTTGTAGAAAAGAGAGAAAGAATGATACAGACACAGAGGTACAAAGACAGAGACCCAGAGGTATGAACTGCAGAGAGATGCAGACTGATATTGATAGCTTAGTCTTCCCTCATTCTGTAGTTATAGAAGAGGATAAATTCTGAATTTCTCTCTGAATTTACGATATGCCTCCCTGAATATGGAGAAAAATATTAGTAAGAGTCTGAGAAGTCATGCAACACATCACTTGGCATTTATTAAGTACACTGTGGATAAAACACTAAACTAAGTTCTCCAGAAAGACATCAATCAGTTTGGCCGTTTTGGCTCATGCCTATAATCCCAGCACTTTGAAAGGCCAAGATGGGTGGATCATTTGAGGTCAGGAGTTCAAGACCAGCCTGGCCAACATGGTGAAACCCCATTTCTACTAAAAAAATACAAGAATTAGCAGGGCGAGATGGTATGCACCTGTAATCCCAGATACTTGGGAGGCTGAGGCAGGAGAATTGCTTGAACCCGGGAGGAAGAGGTTGCAGTGAAGCGAGATCACACCACTGCACTCCAGCCTGGGCAATGCAGTGAGACTCTTTCTCAAAAAAAAAGAAAGAAAAGAAAAGAAAAGAAAGACATCAATCAGACTGCAACCCATATGCAACAATATGAGAATGCATACAACCCAAACAACAAATGCTTAAGCCCTATAAGGGCAATTTCAGATGCGCTGCTAATTGGGAAGTTATCCTCAATGCAAGTTAACCTCAACTAGTGTTAATCTTTAACAAGAGTTTGCAAACACGGTCACATGGCTCCTCTTACTATTCTGCCATGAGCAGTCCTTGCCCCTCTGGGTTTACTTCCCTGGAGTCCTTTAGTATACTAGTATTTCTGTGTTAAAACTGAAGGAAATGCAATACAGAGAAACTGGTCCCCTGCCTGGAGCTGTAACATCGATCAATGGAAGAGGGAAGACTTCAGTAGTCACTGAGTCCCATTCATCCTCTTCTGTCCTTGGAATGGTTCTGACAGAATGTCACTTGCCCAAAGTCAATCTTCTTTGAGGTATTTCTTCTAAAATCTTTGTAAGGTAATAATTGGAGGAGACTGCATGCAGCAATGAAAAGAAGATAATTATTTGGCATTCTACACATGGCAGAACTAATTAATCGTCTGTCCTTTTTAAAGAAATGCTGTCATGTTAAGTCTGTGCTTAAGCCGTGTTTTAAGAAGGCAGTTGCTAAGTGTATCTAGGGAAACCTGGCAAAAAACTGTTTATAAGTACATTTTATTTTACTTTATATAGAATATGTCAAATACCAGTTGGCAGAGGTCAGGAAAGAGAAAATACGTAAAAGATCAGATTTTAAGATTGTATAGTGTGATTCTCAGCTTAAGCACAGCTGTGTCCACTGGTGAGAGTTAAGATATGTCATGGCCATAGCTTGGGAACTACTGGGAAATCTATTTGCATGGAAACCTAACGGGACCCCTAGGAAATAACTGAACCTGTATACATTGCTGGGGTTCAGACATACTCACATATTTCTGGAAAACTGAAAGGGCAGACAGAAGTGTATCAGCAGGAGAAGAGTAGGAGGGTAGGGAGTGGGCTGATAGCAAATGTGTTCCCAAAAAGACAGCCAGCATTCACACTGGCTCAAAGAAAACACAATGGAACGTGTATTCACATAAATGCAGCCAGGGGGCTATAATTATAGAAATGAAATCTCAATTTCTCAATGGTAGGTGCTGTCAGTGTCCTGTTTCATTCACCAACAACCATGGTGGACATTCCCGTGCATGGCTGACAGCCTTTCAGAGCCTGCATGTCTCTGTTTTTCAGTCTTGGGGCTTTCTGCAGAGTTGTGAGAGCTTGCTCAGTGCTGTGGGATAGCCCCAAAATGCTGGAGATTTAACCCCCAGGGACATCCTTTAACAAGTGAGATATGAGAGTCAGTGGATAAATACCCAAGCTTCCCAGACACCCACTAGGACAATTCTGAGTTCTATTCTAACCAGTATTTCAGAGAGTTCCTAGTAAGATGGAACCACTGTTCCTCCATATACACAGTGTTTAATGCACCTTTGTTGGCACTTCTTCCTCTCTCTCTTTCTCCACTCCTTTACTTTTGCTTCCTGCAAACACTTCACAAATAAACCACCTGCTCCCAAATTCTTGCCCCAGAGTCTGGCTTTTGAGGAATCTAAACTAAGTTACTAACTGAACTCAGTGTCTCATTGGGCCTAAATAACTCAACTTTTGAAAGCCATTAAAAAATTTAATACAAAGGGTAAATCTTTGTATTACAAGGTAATACAAGGTAAATCTTTATCATCCACTTCTGCCAGACCATCTCAAGTCACTGGCACCATGAAGATTCAAGGTGGTCACCAACAAAGAAATTCACGCCTAGCAGGTAAGTGAGAGAGAACGGAGTCCTTGCCAGACAGTTCCAAAGAGCACTGCCGTACAATATGAGCTAAAGAGCAGAGGCAGCCCTCACTACCCTCTTGGGGTGACAAGTGCCACTTAAAGAGATCAGCTGAGTGATGTGAATCAGTGAAGAACAGTGGCAGGTTAAGGTCCCAGAGGAGGAGAGAAATAAAGGGGAATGTAAATGTAAGTTTGTTTACTCCTAAGTTGCTTAGATAGTGAATATTTTGAAATTATAAATAGTAATTGGGAAAAGTAAAATCTGACACAGAAATGAAAATATTCTCTATCTTGTTATTGATCAAGGCAATTGTGGTTATTTCTTCCTTGGGGCTCGGTTTTAGGAAATGAGCGTTGAGCAAATCACAGGTGGCAAAACATAGAGAGCTAAAGAGAAAATAGGAAATAATGAAGAACCACCCAAGTAGTGAACCAAAGAAGAGAAGAATCACTGAAAGTATTTCCAAAACTGAGCTCTTGGTGAAAGATTATCTCCAAAGTTAGGCTGAGAAATAGATGCAGGAGATTAAAGAGAAATCAATGTGATAATAATAATAAAACACCTAAAAAGTAGTAAGGTGAGCTACTAGTATATAAGTTTAAACTTCCAATTTTGAAGGAAATGTTGCATTTAGAAATTGTTAAATTTTGCTTAGCAGGAACCCAAAAGCCATAAAGGAGATAAACATGTTTCATGATATCAAATAAAAACATTTGTCAGGAGGCTAAGGCTGCAGTGAGCCAAGATCATGCCACTGCACTCCAGCCTGAGTGACAGAGTGAGACTCCATCTCAAAACAAACAAACACACAAACAAAATTGTAGGCTTTTTTGTTTACAAAAAAATTACACACAAAATAAAAAAAATTATTCAAATGCCTAAAATAGTTAATTTATGAAAAGCTTTTGCAAGCCAATAAGCAAAAGATAAGAAAACTAATTTTAAAATGCATCTAAGGATCCCACTGGATAGTTCACAGAAGAAACCCTAGTGTCAATAAATATATAAATGAAATATTTCCCTCAATGTCCCTCTATGCCTCTGCATGTCACTGCTGCTTTAGCATGGACTCTGGCCTGGGCTGTCAGTCACTTGGTCCACTTTGATGGTTTCCTCAGGCCCTTCTTATAAGAGGAAGACATTTAACAAATTCTACTCTTCCTGGTCCAGCATCAGGGTGAAAGAGATACAAGACAAGCACAGCTTTCTACTTCTAAGATTGGCAGTATCTTATGATACAACTCCAGTTACTTTATTAGCAGTCTATTTTCTCTACCTTACTTAAAATGCTACCGGTGCTTGCATCTAAGAACAATTTCTATTATATATTCAGATCTTATTCCTATCTTATAAATTACCCTATTCTAGCATCAAGAAGGTGTATAGGGAAGAAAACCCCACCTGTTACCCTAGCATCAAAATTCCTAGACTGCTACAAATTATAATAAATGTATATTCCAATTTTATGAGATACAGAATTATAAATCAACTTAAGTCAGCAGTTTATTTTTTATTTATCATTAATTTTTATTTTTTTTACCAACAAAGTTTAGTTTCCATACAGACTGTCCAAAAAATGCCAATCTAAACTATATTTCAATAGTCGTACTGGGAAAAGTTTTCAATTAGCAATAATCATGCCTCAGATGGAGCTCGTTGGTCATAATACTGCCACTGAGCAAAGCTAAGGAGGTTTATTTTATTTTGATTTATTTTTCCATTTTGTATGGTTTGAATGTTTGCTCCTTCCAAAATTCATGTTGAAATGTAATTCCCAATGTGATAGTGTTGAGAGACGTGGCCTGTTTAAGCGGCACTTGGATCATAAGGGCTCTGCCCTCATGAATGAATTAATCCATTCACAGATTAATGGGTTATCAGGTAATGGGACTGGTAACTATATAAGAAGAGGGATCTGAGCTAGCATGTTAGCACATTCATTCTCCTTGCCGTGTGATGCCCTGTGCCACCTCAATACTCTGCAAAGTTCCCACCAGCAAGAAGGCTGTTACTGTGCCCCCATGACAATAGATTTCCAGCCTTCAATGTAAGAAATAAATTTCATTTCTTAGAAGACAGGCTAAGATGCTAATACAAATGTGAATTTGAGGGCAAACATATGCAATTTAACTTGAACTGAGATCTTTCCTCCACATCTTGGTAATGAGCTTAGTAATAACCCAGTCTCCTCCAGACGAAAACTTAGACCTCAAAATCCAAACAACAAAACCATTGCATAAGGAGAGAATCAGACAACAAGCAAATGCATTTCTCAATAATGAATACTCTGTGATATACAACTGGACAAAAAGAGGGATACGGACAGAGATAATATGCTCAAGGCTGGGAATTATCAGTTAGTCCATTCATTGTATGACAAGGATTACCTCTGTGACCACAAATAAATTCCAAAGCCTCTGATGTCATGAAGATATTTTTTCTTCTTGAAAAAGAGACAGTACTAGAATTCCACTCTATTGATTTCCAACTCTAAAAGGAAACTCTAAAAGGATTCTTGAAGTAAAGATATGGACAGAGGGTCTTGTGCAAAAAGGGATGATTAGATTTACCTGCTGTATTCTCTCCCTACCATTCTAAAAAAGGTTTGCTATAGGTAGTCAAATATATACACAGGCTATACATTTATAGCACATATCAGAACTAGAAGGAAGTAGCTTACTTGACCTAGAAGACATAGAGAAAGTCAAGAAAATTGCTACACTAGACTCCATCTTTCCAGGGTGCTGGACCTTGACCTATATCATCTCATCTCTGAGATGAGATAATTTATGCTTAAGATAATTTATGCTTAATGACACTGACTCTTTCTTTTTGCATCTTTGAAAATAGAAGAAAAAAGACACCCAAGAGAGATTCCATAAAAAATTGAAATTTATTTAATGCATGGTTATTGGCCTACATATGGCCAAGGTCTATTTAGTTCAAACTGCTAAGTATTTTCACTGGTTCTCAAGAAACCCCCAGCTTTGGTTCCACAGCTCTGACTTTTCTGTACCATTTTAATTGTTCCAGTAAGATGCTGCACAGTGAACAGCCAAGCACTAAAAAAATCAGCAATTTGTCAATCTGACCATTTAACCAAAAAAGAAATACAGAAATATTCCCTACTCAAAGCAGAAAAAAAAATTGTTTCTTATAAATAATGCAGTTTTATTATTGATATCATTGCTGTTATCATTATTGATCTATTTGATGTGACAGAGACAGATGGAGATGTTGCAGGTCAGTTCTCCAGGTGGCCTTGGTCTTACTCAGTTCTCCTCCCTTTCCCACTTGTAGTTTTTCCCACTTGTAATAAATGTATAATTTGCTGAGTATGCAAAAGCCTAAAATGTGGGGGACTGACCAGAATAGCCCAGGCTCTGTTCCAGGGCCCCCTAGAAACAGGATGTCCTTTACTGATTTAATTCAGTGTGTCATGTAGCCCTCAGGTTATAAAACCTAGGTCAGGCCGGACACGGTGGCTCATGCCTGTAATCCCAGCACTTTGGGAGGCCAAGGGAGGTGCATCACCTGAGGTCAGGAGTTCGAGACCAGCCTGGCCAATATAGTGAAACCCCATCTATACCAAAAATACAAAAATTAGCCAGGCAAGGTGGTGCATGCCTGTAATCCCAGCTACTTGGGAAGCTGAGGCAGGAGAATTTCTTGAACCCAGGAGGCAGAGGTTGCAGTGAGCTGAGATCACGCCATTGCACTCTAGCCTGGGGAACAAGAGAGAAACTCCGTCTCAAAAAACAAAAACAAAAACAAAAAACCCTAGGTCAGACTTATTTCTGGGGTCCCTCAGCTGCAGTGCAAGTGAGGTACATGAGATGAGAATCCCTCTATCCTGGGCAGCTTTCCTGAGCCTTTGGGGACAGGCTCAGAATGAATCCTGGGCTTCTGCCACCCATGTTTTCTGTAGGTAAGTAATAAACCTGCATCATGTACCTTGTGGTGTGTGTGGACGTTCTATCTCACCAGACTCAGATAAACTGGTAACCAGTGTACAGTGAGCCTGCTTCACAGATGTGTGCTAAGGTCTGCTCCTATGACAGTAATTTTGTCAATTTCTTATTGAATTTTTAATATCTTTAGTTGTATATGTTTCATAGATTTTATTTAATGATTCAACAGTTATGGCTGTGATATTTTCACTGAGGAAATTTAATCTTTGTCAATATTTTAAAACATCTTCCTCTCATATTATGATTTTTGTATTGTGTTTTCTAATCTTAACAAGGATAAGCCACAATCTTTCAGTTGGCATTTGTCTGACATATCTTCCACTCATTTCTTTGTTTTTTGAGCCTTTCAATTTCTGAAGTAAACAGGTTTAATAACACCCACACAGTCTTTGAAAAGGTCTACAAATCAAAATAGTGAGCCAAACAGATCTCCCTTTTTGAGACTGAACAGACAGAGAAAAATACCTTTTATTGGACTGGGGGGGATACAGTTGGTGAGGAAGGACAGAATCATGCTAGTGGGGGCCACAGGAAGCTCTCTGTTTTGTTAGTGCTGTTCTTGTAGTTATTAAAATTATGAGCAGTCATTGAATAACTGTGATCTTGGAGAGTTTCCCCAACCTCTCTGTTTCTCAGGCCTACCTTGTCTATAAAATCAGGATGAAGACAATACATAATTTCTAGGACAATTGTGAGGATTAAGAAGGTTAATACAAGTAAAATGCTTAGACCAACTCCTGATACATCGCAAGTGCTCACAAAATGTGAGGTAATATCATTATTTCTAATGTTACTTATGTCACAATCTTTGTACCGTTCCAATTGTTTCCCAATTTTCCTTCAGCTATGGAGCCTGTCATTGGACATTTAGGGGTATTGGTGATAAGTTAAAGCTGCAGTTGTCAGTAGGAATGTGAACCCATTAAACTGTGCTTGCTGTTTTATTAAGCTTTAACTTGGTAGAAAATGCTGTAGCACAATTTTTTCCCCACAATATAAAAAGGTTTATAGAAATAGATTATCTTAGACCTCCTCAAGCCTCCCTTCCCAAGACAAAAATGTGTAACCAGGTTTATATAGTCTTTCTGAAGCATTCTATAAACTCTTTAAAATAAAAAATTCAAGGGAAAAAGAAATTCAAAAGGCAGTGCTCCATCTTTACACACTCTCCTGCCCTTATTCATACCTGTTGTGTATGGCATAGATTTTTTCCTATTATAAATTTACCATAGTTTACTTATCTAGCAGAGTATTCCACCAGCAGTCTATTGATAAGACAGTTAATGTATTCCTTGTTGTATTATTTTATTTGCAAAAAAAGAAAAAGCCACAATGAATATCCTTGCACATTTAAATGCAAATTTTCTGTAGGATACAGTTTTAAAATAGAATTCTAGGCCAAGAGTATGAGCACTTTTAATTTTGGCAAATATTGCCAAGTTCCCTTCAATGGAGTTTCCACCATTTACATTTCCAGCAATAGTGTGTAAGTATAGAATTCTGTTTTTCCCATACACTTGCTCTCAGTATATTAGCGAACCTTTTTATCTTTGCCAGCCTGATACCGGAAACAGTTTTTCATTACGATTTTAACTTACTTGTCTTTTATTAAGAATGAGATCTGGGGGGGGAGGAGCCAAGATGGCCGAATAGGAACAGCTCCGGTCTACAGCTCCCAGCATGAGCGACGCAGAAGACGGGTGATTTCTGCATTTCCATCTGAGGTACCGGGTTCATCTCACTAGGGAGTGCCAGACAGTGGGCGCAGGTCAGTGGGTGCACGCACCGTGCGTGAGCTGAAGCACGGCGAGGCATTGCCTCACTCGGGAAGCGCAAGGGGTCAGGGAGTTCCCTTTCCTAGTTAAAGAAAGGGGTGACTGACGGCACCTGGAAAATTGGGTCACTCCCACCTGAATACTGCACTTTTACGACGGGCTTAAAAAACGGTGCACCACGAGATTATATCCTGCACCTGGCTCGGAGGGTCCTACACCCACGGAGTCTCCCTGATTGCTAGCACAGCAGTCTGAGATCAAACTGCAAGGCCGCAGCGAGGCTGGGGGAGGGGCGCCTGCCATTGCCCAGGCTTGCTGAGGTAAACAAAGCAGCTGGGAAGCTCGAACTGGGTGGAGCCCACCACAGCTCAAGGAGGCCTGCCTGCCTCTGTAGGCTCCACCTCTGGGGGCAGGGCACAGACAAACAAAAAGACAGCAGTAACCTCTGCAGACTTAAATATCCCTGTCTGACAGCTTTGAAGAGAGCAGTGGTTCTCCCAGCACGCAGCTGGAGATCTGAGCACGGGCAGACTGCCTCCTCAAGTGGGACCCTGACCCCTGACCCCCGAGCAGCCTAACTTGGAGGCACCCCCCAGCAGGGGCACACTGACACCTCACACGGCAGGGTACTCCAACAGACCTACAGCTGAGGGTCCTGTCTGTTAGAAGGAAAACTAACAAACAGAAAGGACATCCACACCAAAAACCCATCCGTACATCACCATCATCTAAGACCAAAAGTAGATAAAACCACAAAGATAGGGAAAAAACAGAACAGAAAAACTGGAAACTCTAAAAAGCAGAGTGCCTCTCCTCCTCCAAAGGAACGCAGTTCCTCACCAGCAATGGAACAAAGCTGGACGGAGAATGACTTTGACAAGCTAAGAGAAGAAGGCTTCAGACGATCAAATTACTCTGAGCTATGGGAGGACATTCAAACCAAAGGCAAAGAAGTTGAAAACTTTGAAAAAAATGTAGAAGAATGTATAACTAGAATAACCAATACAGAGAAGTGCTTAAAGGAGCTGATGGAGCTGAAAACCAAGGCTCGAGAACTACGTGAAGAATGCAGAAGCCTCAGGAGCCGATGCAATCAACTGGAAGAAAGGGTATCAGCAATGGAAGATGAAATGAATGAAATGAAGTGAGAAGGGAAGTTTAAAGAAAAAAGAATAAAAAGAAATGAGCAAAGCCTCCAAGAAATATGGGACTATGTGAAAAGACCAAATCTACATCTGATTGGTGTACCTGAAAGTGATGGGGAGAATGGAACCAAGTTGGAAAACAGTCTGCAGGATATTATCAAGGAGAACTTCCCCAATCTAGCAAGGCAGGCCAACATTCAGATTCAGGAAATACAGAGAACACCACAAAGATACTCCTCGAGAAGAGCAACTCCAAGACACATAATTGTCAGATTCACCAAAGTTGAAATGAAGGAAAAAATGTTAAGGGCAGCCAGAGAGAAAGGTTGGGTTACCCTCAAAGGGAAGCCCATCAGACTAACAGCGGATCTATCGGCAGAAACCCTACAAGCAAGAAGAGAGTGGGGGCCAATATTCAACATTCTTAAAGAAAAGAATTTTCAACCCAGAATTTCATATCCAGCCAAATTAAGCTTCATAAGTGAAGGAGAAATAAAATACTTTACAGACAAGCAAATGCTGAGAGATTTTGTCACCACCAGGCCTGCCCTAAAAGAGCTCCTGAAGGAAGCACTAAACATGGAAAGGAACA
This sequence comes from Homo sapiens, assembly GCF_000001405.40. NCBI lineage: Eukaryota > Metazoa > Chordata > Mammalia > Primates > Hominidae > Homo > Homo sapiens. The sequence continues at coordinate 83,797,756 of NC_000005.10, read as the reverse complement.
ACCGGTACCAGCCGCTGCAAAATCATGCCAAAATGTAAAGACCATCAAGACTAGGAAGAAACTGCATCAACTAACGAGCAAAATCACCAGCTAACATCATCATGACAGGATCAAATTCACACATAACAATATTAACTTTAAATGTAAACAGACTAAATGCTCCAATTAAAAGACACAGACTGGCAAATTGGATAAAGAGTCAAGACCCATCAGTGTGCTGTATTCAGGAAACCCATCTCACATGCAGAGACACACACAGGCTCAAAACAGAAGGATGGAGGAAGATCTACCAAGCAAATGGAAAACAAAAAAAGGCAGGAGTTGCAATCCTAGTCTCTGATAAAACAGACTTTAAACCAACAAAGATCAAAAGAGACAAAGAAGGCCGTTACATAATGGTAAAGGGATCAATTCAACAAGAAGAGCTAACTATCCTAAATATATATGCACCCAATACAGGAGCACCCAGATTCATAAAGCAAGTCCTGAGTGACCTACAAAGAGACTTAGACTCCCACACATTAATAATGGGAGACTTTAACACCCCACTGTCAACATTAGACAGATCAACGAGACAGAAAGTCAACAAGGATACCCAGGAATTGAACTCAGCTCTGCACCAAGCAGACCTAATAGACATCTACAGAACTCTCCACCCCAAATCAACAGAATATACATTTTTTTTCTGCACCACACCACACCTATTCCAAAATTGACCACATACGTGGAAGTAAAGCTCTCCTTAGCAAATGTAAAAGAACAAAAATTATAACAAACTATCTCTCAGATCACAGTGCAATCAAACTAGAACTCAGGATTAAGAATCTCACTCAAAACCGCTCAACTACATGGAAACTGAACAACCTGCTCCTGAATGACTACTGGGTACATAACGAAATGAAGGCAGAAATAAAGATGTTCTTTGAAACCAATGAGAACAAAGACACAACATACCAGAATCTCTGGGACACATTCAAAGCAGTGTGTAGAGGGAAATTTATAGCACTACATGCCCACAAGAGAAAGCAGGAAAGATCCAAAATTGACACCCTAACATTACAATTAAAAGAACTAGAAAAGGAAGAGCAAACACAGTCAAAAGCTAGCAGAAGGCAAGAAATAACTAAAATCAGAGCAGAACTGAAGGAGACAGAGACACAAAAAACCCTTCAAAAAATTAATGAATCCAGGAGCTGGTTTTTTGAAAAGATCAACAAAATTGATAGACCACTAGCAAGACTAATAAAGAAAAAAAGAGAGAAGAATCAAATAGACACAATAAAAAATGATAAAGGGGATATCACCACCGATCCCATAGAAATACAAACTACCATCAGAGAATACTACAAACACCTCTACGGAAATAAACTAGAAAATCTAGAAGAAATGGATAAATTCCTCGACACATACACTCTCCCAAGACTAAACCAGGAAGAAGTTGAATCTCTGAATAGACCAAAACTGGATCTGAAATTGTGGCAATAATCAATAGCTTACCAACCAAAAAGAGTCCAGGACCAGATGGATTCACAGCCGAATTCTACCAGAGGTACAAGGAGGAACTGGTACCATTCCTTCTGAAACTATTCCAATCAATAGAAAAAGAGGGAATCCTCCCTAACTCATTTTATGAGACCAGCATCATTCTGATACCAAAGCTGGGCAGAGACACAACCAAAAAAGAGAATTTTAGATCAATATCCTTGATGAACATTGATGCAAAAATCCTCAATAAAATACTGGCAAAACGAATCCAGCAGCACATCAAAAAGCTTATCCACCATGATCAAGTGGGCTTCATCCCTGGGATGCAAGGCTGGTTCAATATACACAAATCAATAAATGTAATCCAGCATATAAACAGAGCCAAAGACAAAAACCACATGATTATCTCAATAGATGCAGAAAAGGCCTTTGACAAAATTCAACAACCCTTCACACTAAAAACTCTCAATAAATTAGGTATTGATGGGACGTATTTCAAAATAATAAGAGCTATCTATAACAAACCCACAGCCAATATCATACTGAATGGGCAAAAACTGGAAGCATTCCCTTTGAAAACTGGCACAAGACAGGGATGCCCTCTCTCACCATTCCTATTCAACATAGTGTTGGAAGTTCTGGCCAGGGCAATTAGGCAGGAGAAGGAAATAAAGGGTATTCAAACAGGAAAAGAGGAAGTCAAATTGTCCCTGTTTGCAGACGACATGATTGTATATCTAGAAAACCCCATTGTCTCAGCCCAAAATCTCCTTAAGCTGATAAGCAACTTCAGCAAAGTCTCAGGATACAAAATCAATGTACAAAAATTACAAGCATTCTTATACACCAACAACAGACAAACAGAGAGCCAAATCATGAGTGAACTACCATTCACAATTGCTTCAAAGGGAATAAAATACTTAGGAATCCAACTTACAAGGGATGTGCAGGACCTCTTCAAGGAGAACTACAAACCACTGCTCAAGGAAATAAAAGAGGATACAAACAAATGGAAGAACATTCCATGCTCATGGGTAGGAAGAATCAATATCGTGAAAATGGCCATACTGCCCAAGGTAATTTATAGATTCAATGCCATCCCCATCAAGCTACCAATGCCTTTCTTCACAGAATTGGAAAAAACTACTTTAAAGTTCATATGGAAACAAAAAAGAGCACACATCGCCAAGTCAATCCTAAGCCAAAAGAACAAAGCTGGAGGCATCACACTACCTGACTTCAAACTATACTACAAGGCTACAGTAACCAAAACAGCATGGTACTGGTACCAAAACAGAGATATAGATCAATGGAACAGAACAGAGCCCTCAGAAATAACACAGCATACCTACAACTATCTGATCTTTGACAAACCTGAAAAAAACAAGCAATGGGGAAAGGATTCCCTATTTAATAAATGGTGCTGGGAAAACTGGCTAGCCATATATAGAAAGCTGAAACTGGATCCCTTCCTTACACCTTATACAAAAATGAATTCAAGATGGATTAAAGACTTAAACATTAGACCTAAAACCATAAAAACCCTAGAAGAAAACCTAGGCATTACCATTCAGGACATAGGCATGGGCAAGGACTTCATGTCTAAAACACCAAAAGCAATGGCAACAAAAGACAAAATTGACAAATGGGATCTAATTAAACTAAAGAGCTTCTGCACAGCAAAAGAAACTACCATCAGAGTGAACAGGCAACCTACAAAATGGGAGAAAATTTTCGCAACCTACTCATCTGACGAAGGGCTAATATCAAGAATCTACAATGAACTCAAACAAATTGACAAGAAAAAAACAAACAACCCCATCAAAAAGTGGGCGAAGGACATGAACAGACACTTCTCAAAAGAAGACATTTATGCAGCCAAAAAACACATGAAAAAATGCTCATCATCCCTGGCCATCAGAGAAATGCAAATCAAAACCACAATGAGATACCATCTCCCACCAGTTAGAATGGCAATCCTTCAAAAGTCAGGAAACAACAGGTGCTGGAGAGGATGTGGAGAAATAGGAACACTTTTACACTGTTGGTGGGACTGTAAACTAGTTCAACCATTGTGGAAGTCAGTGTGGCAATTCCTCAGAGATCTAGAACTAGAAATACCATTTGACTCAGCCATCCCATTACTGGGTATATACCCAAAGGACTATAAATCATGCTGCTATAAAGACACATGCACACGTATGTTTATTGCGGCATTATTCACAATAGCAAAGACTTGGAACCAACCCGAATGTCCAACAATGATAGACTGGATTAAGAAAATGTGGCACATATACACCTTGGAATACTATGCAGCCATAAAAAATGATGAGTTCATGTCCTTTGTAGGGACATGGATGAAATTGGAAATCATCATTCTCAGTAAACTATCGCAAGAACAAAAAACCAAACACCTCATATTCTCACTCATAGGTGGGAATTGAACAATGAGATCACATGGACACAGGAAGGGGAACATCACCCTCTGGGGACTACTGTGGGGTGGGGGGAGGGGGGAGGGATAGCATTGGGAGATATACCTAATGCTAGATGACGAGTTAGTAGGTGCAGCGCACCAGCATGGCACATGTATACATATGTAACTAACCTGCACAATGTGCACATGTACCCTAAAACTTAAAGTATAATAAAAAACAAAATAAAATAAAATAAAATAATTTAAAAAAAAAGAAATATAGTGAAAAAGAAATAAAGCCTGCCATGAGATTAGTAAAAAAAAAAAAAAGAATGATATCTGACAGGGCACAGTTGCTCACACCTGCAATCCCAGCACTTTGGGAGGCTGAGGCAGGAGGATAATTTAAGCCCAGAAATTTTGGACCAGCCTGGGCAACATGGTGAAACCCTGTCTCTACAAAAAAAAAAAAAAAGTGAAGTATTAGGCATGGTGGTGCATGCCTGTAGTCCCAGCTTCTCAGAAGGCTGAGGTGGGAAGATGGCCTGAGCCCGGAAGGTCAAGGCTGCAGTGAGCTGTGTTTGTACCACTGCACTCCAGCCAGATTGACAGAGCAAGATCCTGTCTCAAAACAAAAATTAAAAAAAATGAGATTGGTGGCTGCATTTTCCACCATCATCTAACAATTGTGTTAGTGAGATGGTATATGTGAGTATGTCAGTCTTTGCTTAGCTGTATGTTTTGAAGCTCTATGGTTGGCAGCTGAAACCTTTGTTTTTTCTTATCACAGAAATATTTTTAAAAAACCAAACTGTAGCTTTCTTAGCCTAATATTTTTGTTTCTCTTATTTCATACTTTTTAAGCCAATTCAATAACATCTCTAAATTGCAATGGCTGCAAAAGTTCTCAGGGGATTTTTACACATCTATTAATATTCTTTTCTGTGAAAATATACTAAGAAAATGTAAAGAAGGAAATCCTTTTCTGCTTGCCTACAGCAATTTAAAGTCCACTGATGAATGGTTAGCTAGTAAAGCAAGGCCTCCAAAGCAAGGAAAATAGAATGATTAGGTTCTGTATTTTAAATTAGGAATGTCTACTCTGAATATATAAGCAATCAGATAGCCATTTATGCAGAAGTAAGAGGAGCTAAAGATTAATTCATTGTATCAAGCATAAAAATGCAACTTTTCCCAAAGAATAAAACTTCTTCTTAAGGAGATTATAATATTTAAATTGTGGCATCTTCCGTATTATTTTTTTCTGCTCAGGACTAAGTATAAATACACAGGCATATGTTTTAACAAAGAAAGGAAAATATATTTTTAGCCCGAAAACTGAATCACAAAATGCCAATAAATCTGAATATGGTTATTAATATGAATCATTTCTTACAGAGGTGAGAACTCCTCAGATGAGTTGATATTTCTATTTATAATCTAAAACACAGATTATCTAAAAACTCTTGTTATAGCTCATTGCTCTGTTACAGCATGTACAATGACAATACTTGAGTCAATAAATGAGTTGTGCTGAACAATTTTATTGTTATGTTAAATGGTAAAGATTTCCCCCAATGTCTGTTTCTTGTATTCATGTTATTTTCTATGTCAAAAAGATTCTGGTTTAATCTAATTTTTCCAAAATGATTTATCTTAACCTTTCACTGGAATTTCTAAATAAATTAAGAATAATAAAACACTCTAGAACATGCATCTGAAGATTGCAGTGTTAGATAAACCTTTACTAGTAAAGAGAATAGTTCGTTGAGTTATTATTTTGACTACTATATTTATATATTAACAAAATGGAAAAGATGTATAACATAAGACAGAAGTGACAATAATCCCCAGAAAGAAGTTCAAAAGAGTACTTTTTATTGAAGCACACCCTTACTGTATGAGAAACTTTTTCTGCAAAATATATTGAAATGTCTGACATGTTTGAGTTAACTTAGAGAAGACTTAAGAAACAGGTGGGGGAATATAGAAATAAAATATTTATTAGTCGGCACTTTAGGAGGCCGAGGGGGGCGGATCATGAGGTCAAGAGATCCAGACCATCTTGGCCAACATGGTGAAACTCCATCTCTACTAAAAATACAAAAATTAGCTGGGCGTGGTGGCACACACCAGTAGTTCCAGCTACTCAGGAGGTTGAGGCAGGAGAATCTCTTGAACCTGGGAGGCAGAGGTTGCAGTGAGCTGAGATCACGCCACTGCACTCCAGCCCATCAACAGATTGACACTCCGTCTAGAAAAACAAACAAAAAAAAGGTTTATAGTAACAGTGTCAACAAAACTTGCAGAAAAGAAACATTATCTTAGTATACAACATAGGGTACCACAACTGAGAAATGAATGTTGATGTAATAAAAATTATGATTTCCTTATACCGAGCAAGTGAAAGATGGAAAGTATGAATGGATGTGATGGTAGCCTCCTCTTCACAGTGAAAAGTCAGTCGTATTTTAAACTCAAAGGTCAAGAAGAAGCAATTTAAGCAAATTACTCAGATTAATACAAATTAATAAAAAAAATTGTTAAAGGATTTGAAAAAGGTTGCTTCTAGAAACCACGAAGCGTGACACATGGGAGGACAGAAGCATGCTGTTTTTTGAAATAAGAGCTATTTATTCTAACTTGTGTTCATGTATAACTTTCATAAAAGTTACCAAGTTAAAAATAAAAATAAAGGTAATATAATCTTTAAACTTTTTTCAAAGAATACATAAATAATTGAAATGTGATTTTTATAACCCCTTCATCATTCTATGCCATAAGTGGTCATTATTAACTATCTGTTTGGATGTGTGTGTGTGTGTGTGTGTGTGTGTACCATAAACTGTTGATAAGAAGATCTACATGTGGTGGAGGAAGATGGATGTCGCATGAGTATTCTTTTATTGTTTGCCTACATTAATCCATTAAGGACACTCAGTATCTTTACTTCAGGGTCCAGTGAGATTCTCTAGAGATAGTTCCTTTGCTCTTTGCTCTCCTGCTTGAAAATATCATAACATCTAGGAATTGGAGAGTCAACATAGAGCACATAAATCTTCACTTTCATTCTGCCTACAGTGAGGCATTCTGTTCTAGAAGGTCTCACTTCTAGAACCTGCGAGCATGGAGCAGGAGCAATGCTGGGCTGCACAGAGTAGAGGTGAGCCCTGGAGGACTAACTTTTCTTAAAAGACTTCAACCAAACACCCTGTTTTTAGTTCACCTTCATCTCCACTTCCAGCAGTGTTTAGTGTCAGCAATTCTCAAGCCCTTTGGAGGTCTCCTGGTGTAAATCAGTTTGCTTCAAACTAGTGTTTTGCTTCCCGTGTCTGATTAGGACTTGGCTTTCTAGGATCTGCTAAGTCAATTACCACTCTTCCATTTGTTCTTCAGCTTCCAGCATTTCATTGCTGATGTCTCCTCTTCCAATCTCTTTGTTCTTGTTTATTTATAACCTTAAAAATACCTTTATTGTCATTTTATTTTAGTTTCAGGAGGCAGGAGAGGTTAACAGCTAGTCAACTCACCATGTTTAACTTTCCAATTTGCATTTTATAACATACTATTGCTTCTAAAAAGCCTTTAAAAATTGATACTAAACTAGAGCTATCTGCTAATTTATTGTAATCCCAAAATACTAGATTTTATGACAACAGAGGTAGAGTCTTTTATTAAAAAACTAAATATAATTGGATAGCAAGCAATACAAACACACTTTAAAGTAATTTTGATAGGATTTTAAACTCAGCCTCCATCCTGGAACTTAGGTAAACTGAGTTTAAAATGCCTGCTCTAATAAGTGTTGAATATTTGAATCCTAACTTTTGGTATCAGTATCATAATGGTTTTCTTTCTGCTTTGAGGTAAACAAAAGATCCAAAAAATAAAAACTTGACCAACTGTGAGACCCATCTACCATTCACAAATTCTCATTGCATCTGCTAAATCTGAAACACTTCAATCATTAGATACCTGCAAACTTATCCTCATAAATGTTTGTTAAGAGATTTAAATTTGAGTATGAAATGAAGGTGGTCATCTTTACAACTAAAAACCATACATTCTGTTTCAACATTGTAACTTCTTTTTCAACATATTAGAACAAATTTTGGAATATCCTGGTTTGAAAAGAATTCTTATCAAAGGTGATATATGTAGTGGTCCACGAATATTTACCACACTATTAGACCTCACTAAATGTCTGGGACATCAAAGAAGCAGCTTTCCCTTGTTACAGTTATCTGTGCCTTCCAAGCAGTGACCTCTTACCAGCTGGGTCATCAAAACACAGCAGAGACCAGAGAGGAAAAACAGTCCCTGTTTGGCTTGTGAAAGTACATATCAGGAAGGTCCACTTTAGGAGAGGTTGGTGATGAAAATCAAGGGATTTTCTCAGCATTTCTCATGAACTGATATTAAATTACATTGACTATTTGTACAACTGTAAACATCAGGATTTATAACAAATGCAAGCCAGCACTGATAGAAGTAAAAAGACAATTTCCATGAAATATTCTCACTTGCCCAGTTTAAGATAAGGAAGCATTCTTCAAGATTGTCTTAACAACAACAAAAAAGGTATGTGCTAGAATCTGTTGGGCTATCTCCTCCCCTTATCATTTCAGGGGCATACAAAAATTTCTTGGGAAGAAAATGGTTTGCGTAATTTGGAATCATAGTCCAAGGTTATCTTGATATTTAAATAAAAGACTAGTTCCAAGATTTCCCATGCTGCCCTCAAGGTCATTATATCACCAATGTTCTGGAATCAAAGAAACCTGTGTTCAAATCCTAGGCCTACCACCTACTTGCTGTGTGTATTTGGACAACTCAGATAATCTCATGTGTGTACAATTAAAAAGAAATATTAGTTAGAGTTCTTCTGGTTGTAAATGCCAGAAACCCTAACAAAATTGGCTCACAGCAAAAAGAGAAAGAAAGAAAGAATGTATGGATTGACATAATTTATCGGTTCTGCTGTCCTCCGGGTTGACTTAGTTTACAGGAGGATTCTCCCCATGGAGAAGCAAAGATGGGCCCTTGCCTTTCCAGGTATATGTATTAATGATACCAGACAATTCAGTTAAAAAGGCCACATGTCTCTCCCTCAAAAGTCACACTAATCTCCAAAACGGATTCTGAATGGCTTTTCTTGAGTTCTGCCCACCCTTGAGACAATAACTTTGGATAGTGGAATTAGATACAGATTGGTGAATTTGATTTATGTCAAAAGGAGATGAAGACACAATTATAGAATATACCACTGGAATTATCTGGATGGGTAGTTTCAGGAAGAAAAAGATGAAGGCAATTCAAAAAGTAGCAAATGTCCATGACATGGTCTACTTACCCCTATTTTATACTCATCATGACAGATATGTAATATAACTTCAGTAAAGTACCTGATACAATGACTCTCAGTAATTGTGTTTAAGAAGCTCACTTACATAGGTAAGTCATTAAGATCCATACATTTCACCTACTTATTTAAACCTTTGATTTTTGCCTTTTGCTCAGTAATGTCTCAAGCATCTAACCAGATACTGTCTCTTTAATTTCTAAGTATATGATGAACATGATCAATTAAAACTAGTACTTGCAAATAAAATAATCCAAAGATTTTTAAAAACAAAGTCTGAAAACCTTAGCAATCAAGATACAGATTGCAAGCAATACACTGAGGTCCTTAACAAGTCACAAACTGCCAAAGAGCAGAAAAATGCCCAACTTCAGAATAGGAAGCTACGTGGAAGTATCAACTTTAACCTCCACTTGGACTGGCTGAGACAGTAGCCATAAACAGCCGCAGGAATGATTTCAGACTTGGATTTGATGTATTACAAAAATGTCTTGTTGAGTCCTGAAAATGAAATCCAGTCGTCAAAGTTGCTCTTCAAGCAAATATCTTAAGTTCCCAGAATTAGAGACTGATATTTTTCCTGGGTCACCATTACAATTGTAAGAGTGATTCATACACCCAGTATTTTAACCCAGATACATCTACTTGAGAGAGCCCCTCTTTGCTATTTATGAGATGATGTTTGTCAATTCGCCAGAACTGAGTATGTGCTAGAAGGCTGTGCTATCATTTAAGAGTGGACTTGAATCCACATTCATCTGCTACTGGGAAACGTGTGGTTAGCTGTGTTTTAATTGACTTAAGCTTGGATTGTCTATATGCTGCAGTCATCTGGGAAGAGATAGGGAAGAGAGGTATTTCTGATGGAATATTTTCACAAATATTTGGTGAAAGCAGTTTATGGAAAATTGGATTCTCATACTTCTGCTTACAGATGAATCAATAAAAATTATTTTAAAGAGAATTCTACAGATCTTTATATCTCTGAATTGGCTGCAACTCAATGCTGCTTTCAATATATAAAAGTCAAAATTACTTCACATTTGAGAACACAGGGCTTTCTCTGTCAGCAACTGTTATCACTTGATGGTCATGCTCTCCTATGCTCTTTTGCAAAAGAATAGCAAAAGTATGGCAAACTATGTAAACCGCTTATTTATTTATTTAGCTGTGTTTTAGAACAACATGAATTCCATGTATTCAAACAAATTCTGGCTTCATACTGAAATGTAAGCAATGAGTTTTTTGTAATTAGGCAACTGTTTTTACTGTACTGGTTTTCTTACTGCCAGCTTCCAAACATTGCTTTCAAAGCTGAAAGGGAATCTGCTATTAGCCTACTTGTCAACACACATCACTTTATGGCGGGGATTGTGGAGATCATTTCCCAGACTCAAGATAGCCACACTATCTTTTTGGGAAAAGTCTTTTGCTTAGTTTTGCTGGATCCTGGGTTGGCTATGTGCTACCTTTAATCTTGGAAACTTCTTTAAAACTTTATAGATTGTAAGAGAATAATCTTCTTATGGAGCAGACATAGTTTAAATCTGGGAATTTTGCATGTGGTTAAACAAGGAGGAAATTTGTTTTGCTGATTTCCTGGGGTTGATTATTTTTAAGCATGATTATATTATTTACCAAAGATAAATAGAGCCTTAGAACTCTAAAGACCCTAAGAGCCCTTCCAGGGTGGAATAGAAGGATGGTAAATAACGAGATTTATTAAAGGATGTAAAATTGCAGTTAAATAAGAGGATAAGCTCTAGTGTTCTATAGCACTGTAGGATAACTATAGTTATTTATCCTATATAATTAACTATATATTATATAGAAAGTTATATATTTATATATACTGTATATAATATATAGATATGTAACTATATATAATATATAGTTATGTGTAACTATATATTAAATAAGAGGATAAGCCCTAGTGTTCTATAGCACTGTAGGATAACTATAGTTATTTATCCTGTATAATTAACTATATATTATATAGAGTTATATATTATATATATCTGTATATATCTGTTATGTGTAACTGTATATTATTTTAATTATATAGGATATAGTTATATTATATATAGTATAACTATATAATGTATAGTTATATAGTCCTATATATTCTTATTATATATAACTATATCCTATATATTATATGGTTAACTTATTAACCATATAATATGTAATTATCTTTCATATTATGTAATTTCAAATAACTAAAAGGAGGATATTGAATGTTCCCAACACAAAGAAATGATAAATGTTTGAGATGATGGATATGCTAATTACCCTGGTCTGGTCATGATACCTTAAAAATATCCAAACATCAGTATGTACCCCTTAAATATGTACAATTACTATATGAAAATTTAAAGTAAAATAAAAAATATAATGAAAAGTAAAAGTATTAATGAACTGAAACATGCATTGGCACCCCAAGTGGGGAAAAACCTAAGTACATATATCATCAAGAAAAATTCAATTCCTATTATTTAGGTACTAATATTGAATAATAAAATTCAGAAGTATTCATCACTCATGCAAAGGAAGCAAAGGAGCAAAGGAAGGTGAAAAGTTATGTAATAGAAAACAGCCTCAGAGGAAGGTGAAAAGTTTCCAAATAGAAGATGACCTCAAGTGGGAGATGAAAAGCTTTGTAATAAAAGAAAATCTCCAGCTAACAATTGATAATTCCATATGGTGAAGAAGATATAAATAAACTTCTTCTCCTCAAGTAGCTTATAATCTAACTAGAAACAAGACATATTGAAAGATATAAAAGCAAAAATAGCATAAAACTGATTACTAACAAAAAGTGCTATAAAAACTCATTGTTGAGTTTAAAAGGCAACATTTAGAATTTTAAGTCGAGAGAAGCATACAAAAAGTGGTGAGGTTTAATTTGGGCCATAAAGGAGTAGGATTTTGATAGAGAAATGTGTTGAAGACCCCCTGGGTAGGGAAAACTAAGTGAGCAAAGACATGGAGGAAAACAACATTAAAGGAATAGTGATTAGATAAGTTGGATTGGATTAAAAGGTTTGTGTGAGAAAAGGAGATTAGCTCGAAAGGTTTATAAAAGGTAAATTGTGTGAGCCCTCAAACACAGAAGAAAGGGATTTAATCTCTAATGCGAGGGAGATTAACCTTAAAGAAGATTGATGGATGCAGGGTGAACTGGAAGGAGAAGCTGAAAGCACAGGGAGTATAAACTAAACTTCGTGTGGCCCTTTCAGATTCAGTGCAATTGATTGATCTCACAGCGGATGGAGCTGGCGCAGTATCTATCAGTGGGAATGGAAAGGAAGGGATGGATTCAGGAGACATGGCAAAGGAATGCCTGATTAAAGGAGAGGATATCAGACTTTCTGCGTCTGGGTGGCTGGAAAGTGGTGATACAGCAGCAAAAAAAAAAAAAAAATGTGGACATCAAAGGATGTTTTTATAAGGAAAAAGAGAATGCATTTAATTTTGAAAACAAGTTTTCTGAACTGATGTCCAGTGGGGAGCCCAGAATCTGGGGCTGGAGAAATATATTTGGTGCCTGCCCTCATAGAGTTAATAGGTGAACTACAAATGAAGAAGATGACCCCTAAGGGAGAGGGTATAAAGATGAAAACTGAACCTCAGGAATGCCCATGTCTCAGGATGGCAAGGTAAAGAAAGAGGAGGCAGCAATGAAGAAAGAAACTAGATGGACAAGAGGTTCAGAGACAGAAACCAAGGGCTGAGAGAGTTTTCAGAAGGGCAGAGCTCTCCTTTGGATCCACCAAGTCTTCTTAAGATAAAGAGGCCATTTCTGCTCCCCACAGTGTGGTAAGCGTAACAGGAACAGGCTGCCTTGCAGGTTCATCTCTGCCAGTGTCCAGGTGGATAAATGCACTCTTGGGGAGTATTTTATGGCCAATTGGCTGCTCAAATTAAGCCACAATCTCCCATTGTTTTTATCGATAGTAGCACCAACATTTTGATCTCAGTAACTAAAAACGAAAAAAAAAAGAAGGAACAAAGGGAGGGAGAAAGGAGATAATATTAAATAATATAAGATGCTATATGAAGATTAAGCAGTATGAGGATTATCGTAAAAGAAACAGTGTCTTCTGAGAGGACAGGAAGGACATCTGAAGTAGAAGACAAACACTGTATTCTTTAAGCCAAGCTGTGTTAATAGTTAAAATGTCAACTATCTTCACTGTAATAAGGCAAAAAGAGAAGAAATCTGGGAATTTTCTACAGCCCACCACGTTGAATTTAACTTTGCAGATTTCAGTAACTGTGAGGACGGCCTTTAATTTATACTACAAAATATGCATTCACAGTAGACTAGTGAAAAATATTACATAGTTTTTGTAGCATCAGTTTTAAGTGGAAGCCAAAAGGGAACATTACTCAATATTTAAAAGAAAGTTTTCTCTTTATTAATTTGGAAGCATTATAATACCTTGGGTGGCCAAAATTTTGCCCAGTGAAAACCAACATCAAGAGCTTCCTAATTGACTAAGCACACTATTCTATTTTAAAATATTGAGTGAAAATTTCTTGGGCTTGGACTTGAACTGTTCAATATCTCTTTCCCTCATATTATGTCCTATAATAATTAAAACTTCAATTTCTCTCTGAGGAATACCTAACACCATCTTTCTCACTTTCTTCAAATAATAAACGTGGCTGCTACATCAACCATAGATTCATAAAGCTAAAATAAATCTCAGGATCATCAAGTCTTAAATTCAGAACAAAAGATATTACCTAAACTAGTTTAATCAGAGAAATGCATCCCAATAGTTTTAAAAATAACTTTAGGTTTTTAATATCTGTTGGCTTTGCAACAAGCTACCAAGTCATTTGTTACCATTTGGGCTCATCCCTGCAATTTTTTTTTTTTTTTTTGAGATGGAGTCTCACTCTTTCACCAGGCTGGAGTGCAGTGGTGCACTGCAAACTCCTCCTGCCAGGTTCAAGCAATTCTCCTACCTCAGCCTCCAGAGTAGCTGGGACTACAGGTGCACGCCACCACGCCCAGCTAATTTTTGTATTTTTAATAGAGACAGGGTTTCACCATGTTGGCCAGGATGGTCTTGATCTCTTGACTTCATGATCTGCCTGCCTTGGCCTCCCAACGTGCTGGGATTACAGGCATGAGCCACCGCCCCAGGCCCATCCCTGCAATTTATCTAGTAACACTGTTTCTATGTTTATAATAAAAGCACTGGGAGGTTTCCCAAAACACAACTTTTAAAATATTAAATATATGTATTCACATATACATAAACAAACAAATATAAATATGTCAGTTAGAATTGGATCTTGCTGTAGCAAGAGACCCCTAAAAGAATAGTGCAGTGCCTTACACAAGCATTTTATTGTTCTCATTTAAAGGTAGGAGTGTGTAATACAGACAATTAAGGTAGCTCTGATCCTAGGCTTCTTCCATCTTTTGTTTGTTTAATAGGGCCTCCATTTCCAAGGTCTCCGCGTGTTCCAAGATGAGAGACTTAAATTACATTTGCCCAAATAAATGTGATTTCTAATATTCCACATTATAAATAACCCTGAAATGAATTCATTTACACGTACCCTTTTGTTTATATCTCCCATTTTTCTTAAAGTTCTAGTGCCAAAATGTCATCCAGAAAGAATATAACAAACTATAACTTTACCAGCAGCCTACAACAGTACCTTTTTTGCCAGCACATGCCTTTGACAAAATGAATGTATCATTCTCTCAATTATTTGATAGGTGAAACATTTTTTAAATAATTTTAATTTATACTTCTTTGGTCATAAGTGACCTTGAGCAATTTTTGTGAATACTAGCTAATCATATTTATTCTACTGCAAATAGTCCTGATACTCTGAAAATTTGTTTGAAACTGGAATGAGAAAATCATGTGAAAACACTTTGCATAGTATCAGATGCCCTGTAAATGTGAGATGTTGTTAGTGTTACTGTCTTCTTCATAATAAGAATATCTTTCCTTTCTACTTTCAGAATTAGTGTTCAGGTCAAGTATAATATTTATTATATGTGACAGCGCTAAGAAAATATACTTTATAGGTAGAAAGCATTATTATTTTTGGATATATTCAAAACTTTCCAAATTCTTTGACTGTCACAAATAAAAGATGGGGCAAAGCATGAAAGTAAGAAAGCAGTTTTTATACTGTCATCACCTCACTCGTGCACATCTTCACATTGCCATGGGTCTGGGTATATGGCAAAATTAAGCTTTTCTACTAAGTTCCCCCAAAATCACCATTAGCAGGAGATAAAATAGATTTGGGAAAAAAACCCAACAAACTAAGGTTTGAAAAAGAAATGGAGCTGCTTTCCAGACTTCTAAGAAAAAAAAAATCATCCTGGGTTTTAAAACTGACCTCATCTTTCTTCTTCTAAGAGAAAACAAAAGTTATGATACAGGAATTCCCTTAATATCTCTCCCTTCTCCTTAAGTTGTCTAAGTCTAAACACATTATTTGCATTTCTCTTCACTTAGGATAGGAGATGTTCCTTTATACATTTCCCCATGCAAGCTCATTTATAGCCAAGGCTGCAACTAATCCATTTGCTTTTGTCTCTCAACTAGATACCTCCAACTAAATCTCACTACACATCAGATAACCCATATTCACTTCAAACAGAAACTAAATTCATCAATATTTTTCTGCAGTTCAGAGTCCCTTAAGCAAACACGTTATACAGTAACACTTTGCCAAGAACAGACACCTTTTTTGGTGCCAATCAACATTTCAAATGCATATAATTTATGTTAACAGGATTTTCAGATTTGGAACACAAAGTGAAGAGGCAATGCAATACTATCTAACTCCACCTTATTTCTAAATTTTAATATATTCTGATTATGCTGGTTATTTCAAAGTAGAATAAAGAATGTTTGTTTAAATTATATGTGATTTTGTCAGAACTTGAATTAATCTCTTGGACTTACGCAATTATTATTTTTATACATGGCTTATTTTTTATATTACTTGATTTGTCATGGTTGCTGGTTATCCTGTGGGCTTGGTAAAAAATTAATGCAAAAGAAATTAGAGGGAAACAGACATTTACAAAACAATTCCAATAATAAATATACTTTACAGGAAATGAAATGAATAAATGTTTCCAAAAATTAATATTCTTAAATAAATCATAATTATTTTTCTGGAGAAGAGTCCAACATAATTCAGTCCTTGGCTACTAAAAGTTATATGTCCCTGTCTAGGAATGATGAAGGGTTTCCTAAATGGCTTTGGAACTATAGAATGCACAGCACAATATTCTGCAGTGAAGGGTGGTTCTTTATGAAAGTTGAGAAACATAAGCATAATGATTCAAGTGCCATCTATGTTAAAGTATGGTAAGAAACGTTGCAGAGTTGATTGATATGTAACCTTTGGATAATATATTTCTTATGCAAAATAAATTAAGCCTCTGGGCCTTGATTCTGAAATGATTAAAAACTTCTCATGCAATGTAAATTATGGACTATAATTCTGACCTCTTATGCTTTCAGTGTTGGCTTTGTCTACACATTGTCTAGGCTCGATCCAGCACAGTGACTGAGTATGACTAAACAACTGACGCATTAGTTACAATTTTTTCATGCTGAGGATGTGTTATGAGTGCTGCTGTTAACAGCTGTGATTGTTGTTTGTAATTATCTCTATTTTCCTCATAGGTGGTCTCCTTGCTGCTACAGCTTCTAAGCAATCATCTGAAATGTTGACATCTTTTAAAGCTGTAATACTCAGGACTGAACTTCCTCCCACTTTATTCATCTTCATTAGGAAAAACAAAAATCAAAAAACAAAACCCCACAAATTCTTAATGACTGCAAAGTCAAATGTGTATTCCCTGAATCTGCTGTCATAGATGTAAAATGGAGAATGTTGCTTATTACCTAGATGTTTAAATAAAACTAATGTTTGATATTAAACTGAGGAAGGACTAAGGAAAGGATAACATGTTGTATCTTAACTGAAGATTCTGATTGGTAGTAGCTGCATTTGCTGTTAAAGATCATGAATCTATATTTAATCCTAGCAGAAGGCAGCATTCAGGACATGCTACCTCAAAATATTGCACCTTAGCATGTTGAATATTTTAAGTTAAAGGAATTTCAGAAATGTCATGTGCAGGAAGGACTTTCTGACCTTTCCCAGAAACATGTCATAACACACTCATGTGAGAGGCACCCTTCCTGTACCTGGAGAAAAGGAGCAAGGAGCATCCTTACTGCCAAAGACAAAGGGACACATGGAGGAATGTAAACAAAGAGGCCTTCAAGTTCCCACCACTTTATAATTTACCTCATTCACTTCCCCTTTGTCCTGTCATATTTCTTCACAACTCTCCACTCTTCATCAAACCTCTCGTAGTAACACTCAGGTTTAACCACTTCTTTGGGTCCTCACTTTCTTATGAAGGCTCCTGCATCATGTAAAACTTATATGAAATAAATGTGTACACTTTTCTCTTGTTAATCAATCTTTTGTTACAGAGGCCTCAGTTGAGAACTCAGAAGAATTGATATTTTTTCCTCCTCCACTCAGAGAAGCAGTTAATTATTCATTTGCAATGTCCACCCTCAGTGCACGAGTGGTAATTCAAATCTACTCATTTGGGCTAAGAAATTCTAGACAAATCTGATTGTGCTTGAGGGTATTATCTCTATAATAAATTGCTTTTTAAAACTGTTGTAGAGACAGGGCTTCACCATGTTGGCCAGGCTGGTCTCAAACTCCTCCCCTCAGGCGATCCGCCCGCCTTGGCCTCCTAAAGTGGTGGGGTTACAGGCATGAGCCACCACACCCAGTGAAACCCCATCTCTACTAAAAATACAAAAATTAGTTGGGTGTGGTGGCAGGCCCTGTAATCCCAGCTACTTGGGAGGCTAAAGCATGAGAATCGCTTGAACCCGGGAGGTGGAGGTTTCAGTGAGCCGAGATCACACCACTGCACTCCAGCCTGGGTGACAAAGCAAGACGCCATCTCAAAGGAAAAAAAAAAACAAAAAACATCATAAGCAGTGTAAAGTATGCAAGTGCTGTGGTTTGTATATGTCCCCCAGTGAAACTTGATCCCCAATGAAACAGTGTTAGGAGATAGGGCTTAATAAGAGGTGACTGAGTCATGAGGGCAAAGTCCTCAGGAAAGGATTAATGTCAATATTGAGGAAGTATGTTAGTTATCACAGAAGTGGGTTGTTATATAGCAAGTCTGGCCTCTGGTGCCTTTCTCTTTTCCATGCACTCTCCTGTCCTTTGCCCTCTGCCCTTCCACCATGGGATGACGCAGCTGAAGATACTCACCAGACGCCAGCCCCTTGCTACTGAACTTCCTAGCATCCAGAACCATGAGCGAAATAAAGTTCTGTCATTACCCAGTCTGTAGTATTTCGTTATGCAACAGAAAATGGATTAATACAACGTGTATAGTTTGACTTGAATCCTCATGACAGAGGCATTTGAAATAGATTAAAGAGGAATCCACACTCAAGAAATACGCTTAAGCACTTCAAACATTTTATCAAAATCTTTACAAGAAGATTTTTTCATGTAAGAAAGCTTATCAATAGGTTTTCATTATTGAAGTGAATAGTTTCTGAGACATATGATTGGCTAGAAAAAAAGGATGTGAGCATAAACAAAGAAGGCAGAAAAATTCAACAAAATCAAATTATAAATCATTTGAGATTCAGAGTCCAAAAGCCTTGGATCACTCCACTTCAAGGACTACTCTGTCCATTGGCCCAGCTAAGTGTTGGCTGACCCTGCCATCAAAGTATTGTTGCATTGAGCTCAGGGTGAATCTTTCACATGATATGCTTGTCAGAGGAGCAGAGAACAGAGATGGACAGAGTTAGCAAGATGATATGACTGTATTTTCCCCTATCTGCTAGTAGATGTACATTAGGCAGAATCTGGGTCAAAGACTTGCTTTTATAAGAAAATATCAACTGGTAGCATGAAGGTGAAAAGTGGACATGGAGAACCCACCTGTATCTATTCACTTGAGCTGCTAATATTGTTGGCCAGCAAAATTGGCTTAGGTTGGGTCACAAAAGGGCTTACTATCCCGTCTTCCCACCTTTTTCCCCTTATTCTCAGATGCACTTTATGTATTGAGTTTCAATGAAAATGATCTCCTCCATAATCCTTCTCTGTACTAGTCTCTTGATACTTTTACTTCATAACTTTTAAAGAAACACTTTTTAAAAATATAAGTTTCAAATTGAGTAGTAACAAATTTTACTGTAATTTTAAACCAATAAAATTCATAGTTACTAATGTCTGCTTAAGTGTCTCAACACACTAAAGACATAGCCATTATTTTTTGAAGACTAAAAGGATAATACTTTGCTATTTGTCAGGTATCTAGGCAACTTGAGGAAGAATGAATCACATTTATTCTGGATCACAGTTTCAAAAATCCAACTGTGTGCCACAGCCAACTCAAGAGAACTGCTGCTCACACAGTCAAAAAAAAAGCAGCTTCTCTCTTGGTGCCAAGATTGTCTTACTAGTAGACTAATAGCTTTGCAGGTAACAAAACAGAATTTCAAACATCTTACATTACTGGTATGACACACAACAAGTATGAATGTTACATTTAATGTTTCCAGCCTTGCTTATAAAGTAAGATATAATTTGTTGTTGGGTATTTATCTGGGACATCTTTATTTTCCCAGCCTTCACCTTATAATCATTGAACAGGTGAAAAATCAAGAGCCTCTGGTTCAAGAGGCCCAGTTCAGGTAAAGACAAAGTAGTTGGTATCAGACTAACCCTCCCACAGAAAACAATGAAAAACTTGGACATGTTATTAAAAGACAACTATTTGAAAGCAATGAAGAGAGAATAAAAACAGGCAGAAACTGATGAAAGAAATGCATGGGATAATATCACATTTATATGGTTTTTTTCCCCTCAGGAAAATATTCAACAGCATGACAGCCAACTAGAACGGAAGAAGAAAACCACAGTCTCTTGGGATGAGGTGTCAGAGGGCAGAGTTCAGTTAAGGTTATACTATTTTATGTAAATTGCAGGGAAATAAAAAGTATTTTTACATTTGTCATATCGATTGGAATTATTTACTATGGGAAATGAGCATCTTTTCATTTTGAACACGACTTCCTTTTTGGACAATGGAAATGCTTAAGAATTATATTGAATATATTTAATTTATAAATTTATCTAAATATCTGTGAAGGTTTTTGCTAATTAAATGTGAAATGGCACCAAATATTATTCCAATAGTACTTAATAAATGTGATGGTTAAAAAGTTGCTGGACTTATAAATTCCAATGGTAAGACTTGCAAGCTAAAATTTAGACTTACTCTTAAGGAAGATCTAGGTTTTTGAACTTATAACTTTAATGAATTAAATTCTAATTATTGAAAGAAAAAATAAATCTTTGCATAGTTTTTTTCTTTGCAAAAAAGAAAAAAGAAAGAAAGAAGAAAAAAGAAAGAAAATTAGAATCCTCAAAGACACCAAAGACCTTTCATTGTCAAAGACAACAGTGTGACTACTACACAAAGCGATAATAGGACAGGATGTTCAGAGTTCAAGGAAATAGGCAAGTCAGGGAGTCAGAAGGACCTGAGGAGCCAGGGGGAATAAAATAGGAAGAAGCCAAATATAGCAAAGACAGGAAGGATCTTGATGACTACTGAAGTCACCCTTTGTTTTAGCCAGGAAACTTAAGAGAGAGAGAGAGAGAATTTGTGTATGTGTGTGTTTGAGAAAGAGAAACAGAGAGAAAAAGAGAGGAAGGGAGGGAGGGAGAATAAGACTGATTCTATGTAGATTTAGATAATATGGGGAAAAAAACACAGCAGTCAGCACTTCTTACTTTTCACCAAACCAGAGTGTGTGGGATACTGCAATCACATAGCTTGTAAGGGAAAGTGAGAGGCCATAAGAAATGATTGTACAGGAGTAAATTGCTGAAATCCTATAAACCTATCATCATTCATTTTTAGAAATCAACTATTTTGGTTCCACAGCAGAATGTTAACCTGAGTTTGGACAATAAAATCTACTCCAAAGTGATAAAGTAAATAATATCAACAAGGACCAATGCAGCCTATTCGAGTACTCATTCCTTGAAAACCAAGGACTCCCAAAACCAATATAATGTGTACTTCTACAAACCACCTTATCCCTGGTGAGCAGAACAACTGCTTTCCCTTTGCCATTTCTGACTTCACTTTTTATTTGTAATGCTGCTACAAATAAGAATATACATTAAACATATGTGTTTATAGTGACATACATGTTTTAAAATCCACCTTAAATATTTTATGGAAAAGTAGAATTTATATTTAATAACAAATAATACAGATAATTGGGCAATAGATACTTGCCTTAAATTATTTTCATCTCAACCTTGAAGTATATTTCTTTATTTTAAAATTTATTTGTTCTCCAAGATTTATTAGAATTTTCTCACTATGATGGAAACTCAAAGAAGACAAATTTTGATTTGCTTTTTCTGATTCACTCATACTGCTTAGTAATTCTGGACATTAAAAAATACTGACTTGTTCAAGTAATGATGCTTCTAAGAATTCTACTGCCTTTGTCATCAGCTAGGCAGAACTTCTGGGCCGGAATTTCATTCAGGCCCCTCATGATTAATAAAACATCTAATGATATTAACCAGTGGCTCTCAAACATTTTCTTCCCCTGCACTCTTGTGATATGTAACACATCTCTAATTAGTAACTAATAGGGGCTTGCTGTCTCAACTTGAGATGGAGGTCAGAAAAGATGGATTTTGAAGAAGCATAGGTATAAGTCTAATATTATACTTTACTCTCATTTCTGTAAGAATAATGTGTATATATGGTGCTATGGTCTGAATGTCACCCCTAAAATTCATGTGTTGGAAACTTAATTCCCAGTACAACCGTGTTGGGACTTGGAGTCTTTTGGGAGGTGCTTAAGTCTTGAGAGCTTCATCCTCATGAATAGATTAATGCCATTTTAAAAGGGATTAACAAGAATACTTTTATTCCTTTTCTTCACTTTTCCATTCTTCCATCATGTGAGGAAACAGCGTTTCTCCCCTGTAGAGAATACAGCATCAAGATACCATCTTGGAAGCAGACAGCAGCCCTCACCAGATAGCTGAACTTGCTGCTGCCTTGATCTTGGACGTCCCAGCTTCCAGAACTGTGAGAAATAAATTTCTGGTTTTTATAGATTACCCGGTCTCAGGTATTTTGTTATAGTAACACAAAACAGATTAGAAAAGAAATTAGCACCAGAGGAATGGGGCGTCACTGTAATAAATACCTAAAATATGTGTAAGCAACTTTGGAACCGGGTAATGAGTAGAGGCTGGAACATTTTTGAAGTGAATGCTAGAAAAAGCCTATATTTACATGAATGGAGCATTAAGGGCAATTCTGGTGAAGGCTCAGAAGAAGAGAAGAGCGGTAGGGAAAACTTCATCCTTCTTAAGAGATTACTTAAGTGATTGTGACCAGAATACTGGTAGAAATATTGACAGTAAAGGCCATGGTCATTGTGATGAGGACTTAGATAGAAATGAGGAATGAGATATTGGAAACTGGAGGAGAGTCCAACTCTGTTACAAAGTGGCAAATAACTTGACTGAATTATGTCTATGTTCCCAGGACTTTGTGGAAGACAGAATTAAGAATGATGAAGTAGGATATTTGATGAAGAAATCTTTAAGCAGCAAAGTATTTGAGATACGTGTCACTTCTTTTACTTGTTTATAGTACAATGCAAGAAGAGCAAAATAATTTAAAAGTGGAATTTATGATTAAAAGGGAAGCAGAACGTAAAGAATTGGAAAATTCTCAGGTTGACCATGTAAAGGATAAAAAAATGTGTTTAGGAGAGAAAACCAAGGGCGTGGCCAGGCAACCATTTGATAAGAAACAGTTCAGCAGGACTGGTTTCACAAGATACAGGTCACAAAGCCCCTGCTGATAAATCAGGATTGCCATAACGAAGCCAGCCAAAGTCTGCCAAAACCAAGATGGCAATGAAAGTGACCTCTGGTCATTTTAGTATGTAGAGAAGGAAGCCAGGTGCTCTTCATTCAAGAAAATGGGAGAATGACCCTGAAGGTACTTCAGAAACTTTATGAGCTGCTATACCCATTCCCGGCCCACAGTGGTATGGCCTTATGGCAGAACATTTTTTGGAAAGAGACCCAGGCCCTCCGTGTGATCTTGGAGCTCACTTCCCAGGGACACTGAGGGTCTCTGCTCTCTGCATTCTGCACAGCACTCCTTCACCACCCAAGCTATATAGCTCAGTGGGCCCAGGTGCAGCAGGAGTCACCACTCCAAAGGGTGCAAGCAGTGAGCCTTGGTGGCATCCACAGGGTGCTAATTCTGCAGATGCATAGAGCGCAAGAGCTGAGGAGGCATGATTACCTCCCCTGAGATTTCAAAAGATGTCTCAGACAGCCTTGGGCCCAAGCAGAGAACTGCCACAGGGGTGGAGCTGTCATAGGGTGAGCCCCAAAGTTGGGATTCAGCCTAGGAGACCTCGTAAGTTCTTGACTTTACAAAGGAAGGAATTCCAGAGCAAGCTGACAGAGTAACGCGAAATCAAGTATATTAAGAAAGTGAATAAATAAAAGGGTGGCTATTCCTTAGGT
Organism: Homo sapiens; assembly: GCF_000001405.40. Taxonomy (NCBI): domain Eukaryota; kingdom Metazoa; phylum Chordata; class Mammalia; order Primates; family Hominidae; genus Homo; species Homo sapiens. The sequence goes on along the minus strand of NC_000005.10, from coordinate 83,773,832 downwards.
AAGGCAACCCTGAGGACTACTGTTTGCCTGTTTTTATGGTTATTCTTGATCTTATACTAAACAAGGGGTTGATTATTCACGAGTTTTTCAGGAAAGAGGCAGGGAATTCCCAGAACTGAGGGTTCCTCCCCCTCTCAGACCACGTAGGGTAACTTCCAGACATTGCCATGGCATCGCATTTGTGAAAGGGCATGGAGCTGATGGGAGTGTCTGTTAGCAAGGTAATGTATTATAAATAGCATGTAATGAGCAGTGAAAATGACCAGGGGGTCACATCCATTGCCATCTTGATTTTAGCAGAGTTTGGCTGGCTTCTTTACTGCATCCTGATTTATGAGCAAGGTCTTTGTGACCTTATCTTGTGAAACCATTCCTACTGAGCTCCTATGTCATCCCCTTCCCCCATCTCAGAGACTGCATACTACATACTCCTCCTTAATCTTAAGGGGCTATAGAAGGATGAGAGGGTGTCCTCTATAACTGTTTCATGCTGAACAAGGGCCATTGTCCCTACCTGCTCTGTAGGCATAGAAACTTCTTGTTACTGGATCTAATGACTTACAGGGACGTTATCTTTTGTGCAGTGGCAAAGGCTGGAACCCTTGGGTCAATTATCATCTTTGTCTAGAACTGTTGTAGCCTTCAAAACGTAAACTTTAGTTGTCTGAAACCCTGTCGAAAATAACAAATAATTATTTTTTAAAAAACTCAAATAGCACCTAGTAATAACAAAATGCTTAAGCCCAGATTAGCAATGCTTATAAAAGAAATAGGGTGCCATTTGAAACCTAAGTGAATAGGCTAGAAAATCAGTCTCCTGTTGTCTAAAATACAAAGCAAAACAGATTTTTAGTAAGAGGGTTTTTTAAGGAAACAAAAGGAAAACAAAGATTAATGTTAGGCACAATTTATCCAAATGTTAGATTGTTAGACTTAAAACATCTTTAGTTTATAGAGAAGGAAGGCAGTGGCAATCTGTTTCTTGCTTTTCTTGCCTGTATCACAAGGAATAAGCTGTAGCTTGCAAGGCCTCAGGAAAAAGGTAGTAGTAATAATATTATTGAGTTTAGTCAGAAAGATGGAAGAAAACTTTGAAAATGCTCATTTGTGGACTTGTAGCCTGGACAGAATTTATGAGTCAGTCCAAATTGCAGAAAATAATAAAAACTCAAAAACAATAGGCAAGAGTAGAATCTAACAACAGGTGTACTATAATTTTTTTTGAAACATAATTTTTCTCTCTCCTGTCTCTCATTTTTACCAAAGACACATCATGGTAGGACTGAATTGTTTGCAAAATAAATTTCATTATTATTATTATTATTATTATTATTATTATTATTGGTCTAATCTGCATAAATTGCAGCAAAAATATTTATTTGCCAGACAGGTCCTTTTAAAATTGGCTTTGATGGAACTTTGTTCCATAAGGAATCTCAGCTAGACTTTTTAAAGCCTTGAGTTCAGCATCAGATTTATCTATGCCTGCAAATATCTATATGAGGTGAGTGAATTCCTCTCCTCTTGAGGTCCCAAGATAACTTGCAACTCCTGGACATGCCAGAAAGTAATATTCTTTACTTACCACAGGTCAGAAACCCTGTACAGGGACTACAGAGACAAACTATGAAGACAGTTTTCCCAAGGGGCTTTTATTAACTCTTTGAGTCAACTTTGATACCATAAAGCAGTCTGTTTATATTTGAAAGCGTGCCATTCCAGTCAAAGTGTTAGTAAAATAACCATCGTCTCCAATTGTGTCCTGTTACAAAAGAAAACAGATTCTTATTGCACTTATGCAGATAACTATATTGCCATAAGAATACTCAAAAATGGTTTCCAAATTCTAGATAAATCAGGCAGATAGAAAGACACATGCTCCAAAGTTTTCTTACAGTAGTATTCTTTACTCAATTGCTGAAAGCTATAAATAGCTCAAAAGAAAAAACTTGTCTTGACTCTGAAAAAGAAAACAGAAAGGATCAGCAACATTTTAAGCAAAAAATCATAAAAAGATTATTTCAGTCTTTTATTAATTTAGTCCAGGCTATCAAATCTTGTTTTGCCCAATATTGGGCCAACAGTCCTTATGAATATGTTAGCTTTGTACAGGAGCCTTGGAAGTGTTTTTTTCTTTATTTTGCTCTTTGGGGTTTTGGAGTTTTTACTCTATTTGAATGGCACAATTTTCAAAGTTATCAGCGACTTGCATTTAAGAGTACGCATCAGGCCGGGCGCTGTGCCTTACGCCTATAATCCTAGCCCTTTAGGAGGCCGAGGTGGGAAGATCACTGTAGGTCAGGAGTTCAAGACCAGCCTGGCCAACATAGTGGAGCCCCATCTCTACTAAAAATATAAAAAATTAGCTAGGTGTGGTAGTGTGTGACTATAATCCCAGCTACTCAAGAGGCTGAAACGGGAGAATCATTTGAACCCAGGAGGTGGATGTTGCAGTGAGACAAGATCATGCCACTGCACTCTAGCCTGGGTGACAGAGCAAGGCTCCTATAGCTAAGTATAAACTGCCTTTTGAAAAGAATTAGAACAAGTCAATAATTATCCATGGGTAACAAAAGCCTTAGGACAGCCACAGTCCTAAGATGTAATTAGCATGGAAATCTGGTAAACTTTGTGGTAGACAGCAATTTACATTTTATATTTGACAATACTCCTTGTATGATTTTAATATATCAAATAAGCCAAATATTTCTCTTTTGGACATTACAGGATCTAATATCAAAAAGTCTTAATCACGTTAAAAAAAAACAAACTTAATTTAAAACTTGATCTTGGAAAGTTTGCCAAATATCAAAGGTTTAAAACACTTCATATTACACAATAGAATCCCAGGTCACTGTAAGTCATTTATTTAGCCGAAATGATAACTCAAAATTTCAAAAAGGCAAAAATCTTTACCGATTGGTAGAGAGCAGACTCAGCTTTTCAAACAACAAGATCCAATAAAAACAGCACAAGGCCAAATAAATCTGTTTCTTTTCCATCCCCCTTTTTTACCTGTAGTTTATTTAAAAGGCAAACAAAAATCTTTTATTGTTTCTCAGTATTATACAATAATCTTATTCAAAAGAGAAACTAAATTTCATCTTTGCATTAGTGTATCATTAATGCTAAAGCTAATTTTTAATAAAATCTTATAAACAAATCTATCCAAGTTTAATTCATTTTACCATAAGGTAAGATTTCCATAAACCTTTTATAATCTTTTATAATTTTCTATTAAAGAGCAGATCAATGTTCCCCAAAACTTTTATTCTGACATATGGGCCCAAACAGCAGACCTGCATCAGTATGCTTTTATTTTAGTATTCAATTTATGGAAAAATTAAATAATACTTTTTTAATTTTAGTCAACTTGCTCACACACAGAATTCTTTAAAAGGCTAATTTTTTCATAAATCTTCCACAACTTACTTAAACCTTTAGTTTAACTTAAAATGATTCTTAAACCCTCTAAATTAGACAAAATTACTTTCTTTTTAAAAAACCACATTCTCATACTTTTTTTTTTTACCAGGAACACATACTTTATATTATTTTTAATGTGAACAATTTTAATTACTTATTAGGGGCAGAGCCTAGGTTACAAGACAGAACTCCGGATAACATCTGACTCTTTCCAGCATAGCTAGGGGGCATTGTTAATTCTATATGTCCCCAGGCATTATCTAGTATCTAATAGCTCTAGAGCAGGTAAGTCAAAAATTATCAAAAGTAATAAAAGTGGTTTATATCCTTAAAGCATTTAGTAAATCTAATGTAGGACCAGCATAATTTAGACGAAATATCTAAATTTTGAAGACATTTTCATTTTAATTTACCAGTAATCTTTAAACTGTCTTTGTTTTTAAAAGACTGTTAGAGTCACATGAACTAAAAGGCATTAAAGTTTTTATTTTTCTGACAAAATATTTGACTTAAGTGCTTTTTTTTTTTTCTTCGGAGTCTTGCTCTGTCACCCAGGCTGCAGTGCAGTAGCGCTATCTCGGTTCACTGCAATTTCCACCTCCTGGGTTCACACTATTCTCCCACCTCAGCCACCCAAGTGGTGGGGACTACAGGTGCCCACCACTACACCCAGCAAAATTTTTTTTTTTTGTATTTTTAATAGAGATGGGGTTTCAACGTGTTAGCCAGGATGGTCTCGATCTCCTGACCTTGTGATCCACCCACCTTGGCCTCCCAAAGTACTGGGATTACACGCACGCATGAGCCACCGTGCCCAGCCTAAGTGCTTTTTCTAAAAGCCAATTAATTAGAGCTCTTTCATATATTTTGTTAGTGAAACATTACACACACAACACATATAAATTCACAGACGGAGGCAGATCTGGTAGGTTGATAAGGTTTTTTATTTGTAGTAAAGTTTCTCTTTTTAATTTTAAACCATCAGTCTCCCGATTACCTGTTCCCTTGTTCTAAACAACTGTCAGCCAAGTAGTTCCAAATTTGCATTTTTAAAGGGATAATTTTTAAGTGAAAAATGGCATGGTTGAAAGTTTAGTCAAAACAGTCAAGAAAAGTAGACACCCTTACACCTGGAGATTTCCTTAAACATGTAAAAATCTTAATTGGATTATTGGCTTTAGGGTGGAGCCTTTTAAGGAACAAGACCAGGAAAACCTGCAGTTTCTAGGGCCTCATTGGTGAGCATAGATGGAAGGCAAAAGGAGATCTCTCAAAAATAATTAATCTCATTTTTAAACTGAATTATTGGTCCCTAAAAAAGTGACAAACACCATGGATAACACAGTGCAATGCTTTCACTGTGCATTTTATTGCACAGGCATTCCCCAGAGGCTGGTGGGTAACCCAAAGCCAATTAGCCCATCTATAATTAGCCCATCCTCCATGGGAGTCTTACATCTCAGTGGGGGTTGAAAATGCTTCCATACCTTCCAGGAGGTCAAAAGCATACTTTTCTTACGCAACATCAAAGAGTGAAGTATTCCATTCTTCAGTAACTGCCCTTAGCAATTCCCAAAAGTGTATTTCCTGTCTAGCTATTATACACCAAGGTTAAAAGCTTTTTAAAATGTAAAGTAATTTTTGATGCTCCCAAAAGTCAAAAAGCTCAGGTAACACAATTCAAAACAGAGCAAAGCCCTAGATGTGGAGAGGTATCTATCTACTCACAATCCCTGGGGTTCCATGAAGAAAACAGAGGTTTTCCCCAAAATGGAGTCTGTGGCACCTCCACTTTGTTTTCCAAGGAGTCCCAGACTGTCAGAAATTACCTTAGGTTCTCTCATGTGGACACTGAGGAAGGCAAGAAGACAGACTGGAGAAATAATTCAGTCAACTGGGAAGAAAAACAAAACAAAAAAATCCCTTTTTATCAAAAACACAAGATCCAAGAAAAGAAAAAGCATAAAGAGGTTTAAATATATACATACGTACATATATATGTGTGTTTGTGTATATATATATGGCAGCTTGGATATCCCTTTTTAATTAAGCTGGATTTTATCTATAGAGCTCTTTTTTAAAAATACATTTAAATCTCTTAATACCAGACCAGACTCTAGCCAGGAAAAACAGCTGAAGCCTCTGGTTTTTTAAGCCTTTTTTTTTTCTCAAAAGTATTTTCCCAAGTAAAACCCATAAGCATTAACTAAACTTATGACTTCACCACAGACACATGAGGTGTCTCCAAAGAGATGGCAAGTGGTTTTTACAAGATCTAGAATCATTCCTATGGTAGCCTGGAGAAAAGAAAATTCAAGTCAGGAAATCAGAAGCTGTATGTGGAGGGAAAAAGAACGAGTAAATAGCAAAAGTCCTGCAAGTATCAAACCAGTAAGAACACATTCCCTAAGATAGGAATTGAACCCAGGCTGTGAACATAAAAGGCTAAAGCCTTAGCTAATGAGCTACAGCATGAGGGGAGCATCATTTGCTCTTCCCAGAAGGTGTCTAGAGCGGCCATTTTTGAGTTTACAATGGATATACCTTTTCAAGGGAAAAGAAAAAGATAAACATCTGAGAAGCCTTAAGAGGAAACAGTTTTTAAAGTCAAAAGTCAATATTTCTTGCAATCTTACTGAAAGCAAACCAATACATTAAAAAAAGAAAACGAACTTGTTTTAACATAGGAGACCAAAATTTAGATAAACTATCACAAATAAATTTCCTTTCAGTTACGGCTAATTTAAATATATATACAATTTTTAATAAATTCCCATTTATGAAGCTTATTGCAGCTTACACAGACCATCTATGACATGCTTGGACTTTCTGACTTGACCTATATTTCCTTCTTTCCTAAATAATCAGTCATTCTACTTTAGGACAAGAATTTACCATGTAAGATTTTCACATAAAATTTCTTTTCTTTGTAACCTTCCTTACCAAAAATGCATCTTCATATCCATAACTTTCTTCATATCTCTCTCCCCTACTTACCTTATTTCTATTTTTTTCCTAAATCCATATTTTAAATTCCACTTTAAATAACAGCCGAATTGGCCAAAATTTTTTCAATAAAAGTATATATTCTTTGGCACATTTTATATACAGAATTATACATGAATTTTTAGTAACCATAATTTTAGTGAGCTTAAGTCATGTGAACTAGAAAAATGCTTGGACTTGTTTATTTAATTTATGAATGCTCTTTTATTTATAAACCATTTGGTACCCCACAGACACAATATATACCATAATAAATGCACATATATATAAACACATCTAGACATGCATACACACACATAAACAAATATCCAGTGACTTTTATCTTGGAACTCTAGCCATGATATAGTAACACAAACTCATTATTTTATAAAAGATAGCTGGATCCAAATTATTTCTCAGACAGAATTGGTATTTGTCCACATGGCTAAACTTTGTTTGCTAATTTGAATTTGCCCCAGTTCCCTAAAAGGCACCCTAGTGGTGAGTCCTTTAGGACTTACCATTTTCCCGGTGTCTAACAAACATCTTTACTAGACACATACATTTTTCTAAGTCTAGTGAAAGCCCAATTATTTTCCCCTGCAAATTTCCACCTCCTGTAGCAAAGCATTAAATAAAGGCAAAATAAGAAAAAAAATGCTGTTACAGAAAATAACTTTGGAGTAGAAAACAAGAAAAGGTGAGACCAAAATTCACCTAGGATGGGAATCTCACCCACAATCCTAGAGGGAATGCAAATGCCAAAAATCCCAGAGCATCCCAGGGGTGGTCAACAGTACCAAAGCCAGTGACGTTCCCCACACCAAATGCCAAAAACCCCAGAGCATCTGGGGGGATGGCCAACAGTGAACACCAAAGGCATGTGTGAGATCTAACACAGTTGGGGTCACAGAACAACACTGCTCTGGCATCCCAAGGTCAGTAGAACAGGGGACCCCTCATAACCAAATGTCCTACCTTAAACAATTGCCCAAATAGCCAATGCAAAGACAACAAATGTGACAATGAAGTAAGCATAAACATGCATTTCAGCACTAAGAAGAAAAAAGTAAAATGGCCATTCATTAGAAACTAAAGACAAAAGGTTCGAGAGATGGAGTAACAAGGGGAGTTACGAAGGATGTGGCTGACCAGGCATGCTGCTGTCCAGGATACATAGATAATGGGAGATGGCCAGGGTCTCATGTCCACTTCTTGGTCTGTCCAAAGTTAAAAGAACGTAGGATAGGACAGAGGAGCCAAACCTGAAGGGGAAAAAAAGGTAGCTAGTTGAATCTGGACAAAGGGAGACTCATCCTCCTGGCAGGTCCAAATTGTGCCAATCAGTCTTAATTTGGGTTCCTGGTGGAGGTCTCCATTGTCCCTTTGTGGTCACCAAAGAAGATGTCACAGGGAGAACCCCAAAATTGGGGTTCAGCCAAGGAGGCCACGTGGATTCTTGGCTTCATGCAGGAAGAAATTCCAGAGCAAGCTGGCCAAGTAAAGTGAAAACAAGTAAATTATGAAAGTAAAAGAATAAAAGACTGGCTACTCTATAGGCAAAGCAGCCCTGAGGGCTGCTGGTTGGCTATTTTTATGTTTATTTCTTGATCATTTGCTAAATAAGGGGTAGAATATTTGTAAGTTTTCCAGGAAAAGAGTTGGGAATTCACAGAACTGAGGGTCCCTCACCTTTTCAGACCATATAGGGCAACTTCCAGACATTGCCATAAAATTTGTAAATGGTCATGGCATTGGTGAGAGTTTCCTTTAGTATGATAATTATTGTAATTAGCATATAATGAGCAGTGAGCACAATCAAAGGGCACTTTCTTCACCATCTGGGGTTTGGTGTGTTTTGGCTAGCCTCTTTACTGCATCCTGTTTTATCAGTGGGATGTTTGTGACCTGTATCTTGTGAAACCAGTCCTGCCAAACTTCTATCTTATAGCTACTGTAGATGGCCCCCATTGGGGTAGTGCTTAATGAAGCCTTGAGGGCAGGAGACCTCAGAACTGTAGAGCTACCAGTGTGCAGTACCAGCCTGAGACCTGCAGGCACCCAACTCCAATTCTTGAGAACAATGGCAACAGGGTCCCTTAGAGCCTTGGAGACCGACCCCATACGCCGTGTGTCCAGGCTGTGGGGCATAGTGTTAAAGAAGATGATTCTGCAGTCTTATATTTAATGGTTTGCCATATTGGATTTTGACCTTATTTGGGAACTGTTACTTCTTCTTTTTTACCTATTTCCCCCTTTGGAAATAAAAATGTCTATTCTATCTATGCCTGTCCCATCACTTTATTTTAGAAGCAAATAACTTGTTTATTTTGCAGGCTCACAGCTGGAGGGAAATATGCCTCAGAATGAGTCATGTCTTGATTCTCATCCATATCTGACATAGATGAGACTCTGGACTCTAGACTTCGAATCAATGTTAGAATCAGTTAAGACTTTGGGAGCTATTGGGATGAAATAAATCTATTTGGGTTGTAAAATGGGCATGAATTTTGGGGGCTGTGACAGAATGCTATGGTCTGAATGTGTTTCCTTAAAATTCATGTGATGGAAATGTCATCTCCAGTGCAACAGTGTGGGGAGGTGGGGCATTTTGAAAGGTGTTTAGGTCTTGGGACCTCACCTTTATTAATAGATTAATGCCATTATGAAAGGGATTGACATAGGGAATGTTGGCATCTTTTTTGTCCTTCTGCCCTCTGCCATGTGAAGATATAGCTTTCCTTCCCTTCAGAGGATGCAGCATCAAGGCAACATCTTGGAAGCAGAGAGAAGCCCTCATGGAGAACTGAACCTGTTGATTCCTTGATCTTAGACTTCACAGCCTCCAGAACTGTGAGAAATAAATTTCTGTTTTTCATAAATTACCCAGTCTCAGATATTTTGTTATAGCAGCACAAAATGGACTTGGACAAATGGTAACTTGATGGAGGAAGATGAAAGGCAATTTAGATAAAGAACTTCTTTTAGGAATTAAACCTTTATATAAGCATAAAATAATTATTTATCAGTCATGTATTATTCCTAAAACATAATGAGGAAGAACTTACTTGAACTCTTAAGCCAGAATTATGGGCTCAAATCCAAATGCTACCACTTCTGTGGTATGTGGCATTGAGCAAATTCCTTAAACTCTTCTGTCTCCATTTCCTTATTTGGTCATGCAGGGAAAACAATAATGGTACCAACTTAATAGCCTTGGAAAGATTTAATGGGTCAATATTAGCACAGAAATTGGGACTATGCCTGATAAAAGTAATTCAATCAATATGAGCCATTGTTGTTATGGCGGTGGTTATTAAAAGAACATATGGCCTGTTTTTAATTATATTTTTGAAAGTAATAAAAAGGAACTTTTATAACATATATGTATTAGTCCTCTCAGGCTGTCATAACAAAATACCATAGATTGCATGGTTTAAACAACAGAAATTAATTTTCTCATAGTTCTGAAGGCTTGAAGTCCAAAATCAAAGTGCCAGCTGATTGGATTCTGGTAAGGGCTTTCTTCCCAGTTTGCAAATGGTAACCTTCTTACTGCGTCCTCACATGACCTTTTCTCTGTGAACATGCAGAGAGAGACAGACATCGTAGTGTCTCTTATCCTTCTCTTAAAGATGATTTGTAGCCACATTTAAACTTAATTACTTCCTTAAAGGCCATGTCTGCAAACATATTCATATTGGAGCTTCAACATATAAAACTGGGGGAAGACAGTTTAGTCCACAAGAATATATAGTCCAGATATTTGGCATTTTTAATCATCGTCACCACAATATCCTTCCCTACTAATTAGCCAATATTATTTTAGCTGAATTACTCACTAGAGGAACAATTTAATGGCACATTGAAAATTAAATTCCTGATTCTTAAATTCCTCTAAAAATAACATTTTCAAGTAGAACCAAATGAATCAAAATTCAAATCCAGTATTTTGCCTATACTCTAATGCAGTGTTTCTCAAGGGAGAGTGCGATGGGTAGAGATAAGGGCAGAGGCAAGGGGAGCAGCCCAGAGATGGTATATAACAATTCAATCAGAATTATCATGGGGAGCTTTCTCAAAATATATGTGTCTTTCTCACATGATACTTTCCAACTCAGAAAAGTTGCTTGTGGGTATATTTGGGTACTGTTTAAAAATCCCTCAAATTTCTTCCGTGCCTTTCCTTTCTTTCCAAAGGAAAATTATACAACTATTTCCCTGTCAGACCTATCGGCTGCCAGAGCAATCAGCTTCCACTTCTCAGTGAATATTAAGCATAGTTATTTAGGGTTTTTTTTAAAGCAATTGAGCCAGATACCTCCTTATTCTTCAAGTCTATGAACCAAATTATTTTGCAGAAGAGAATTTTTTTAAAAAATGCATCAAATGGTATCTAATATATTGATGCCATTTTGTTTTAGAAATACTTTCTAAAAATGACTAACTTATTTCATCTTATGGTTACTATTAGTTTCCATTACTAGTGTAAGATCTCTTTATTCCTTTTCAAAGCACATTAAGAAAGTATAATTCTAAGAAAGCAGTTCACTGCCTGTCTTAACATATCAAAATTATAATGATTTTAAAAGAGCAGCAAAATGTGAAAAATTACATGGACATATGAATGTTGACTGGAGCTGAGAGAGGACACTATTTACTGCTTAATATAATAAATAAATTACAAAGTTAACTTTGAGAAATGAGGCATAAATAATGGTACATACATGAAATTGGTGGAGCTGGCTGACATTGGTTCACCTAAACTGATTTATCAAAATCGGGAACTCTGCTAGCCATTTGTTAAAATATCGGTAGCTTAAATTAACCAATTTAGAGGTGTTTCACACCACAGAAATCATCAAATTCTACAAATCAGGACTCTTTCCTGAAGTGCTAGTTGTTAAACACTTACCAGCATACCATTCAGTGTAACTTACTTATCCACATTGATAGCTTTAATTATAAACAGGCTATGTGAATACTAGACTTTCCCCCAACTTCCTACTCATCTATTCCTTCTCAGTTCTTTCCAGTTCATCTGTATACAACTATTTAAAAAACATTTTTTAAGGAGGAAAAACCTAAATAAAAAGTATATTGGTTTAGTCAGTACAGATTTATTTTGAAGTAGAAATGTATTTCTCTATTCCTCCCATGAGGAGATATATGCATACCATGGAATTTCTACATCTTGAAATCTAAATCTATAGCTTCTTTGCATAAACTCCTATATGTTTGCAAATCAGAGCTGTATATAGTACATAGTATTCTATATGTCAACAATTCTCAAATGGTAATGGACCTAAGAATACTTCAGTGATTTTAAAAACAGTGAGATTCTCAAGCCTCACTCTAAAAGATACTGATGCTGTAAACTCAGAGTAGAATACAGGAATCTGATATTTTAGAGTACTGCAGGTGATTTTGATGCATGCGGTCCTCAGCCTACACCTTGGAAGCATTGTCATAAGGTGGTGTACAGGGTGGTGGCAGAATGACTGCAGGCTTTTGAAAACCTTGCCAAAAATTATATTCCTGCCTAATGTAAGTAGCAGTATTTGTTTAATCTCTTTAAGTCATGCTCTTATCACAATATCCACTGCTCCCAGTAACCCTGATCAAATGAACTCATCCTCTAATTTGTCCAGATAACTCTATCCCAACACGTTTTCCTCTCTGAAATGTGTATTTTACTTGCCAATTGATAACCACTAATAAACTACTAGTTTTCTTGGCTAGGGATCAAAGATTTGGTTTGACTGCTAAGTAAAAGCAAAACTTTGCTGGATTAAGACTTCCCCAAGCACAATTGTTCAGAGTCATAGTTCTCAGTTTGCAACCTTTTCCTTGGAGCCCCTCAGAAATACCAAACTAGAAATTTAAAACCTTTTGAATTTACTTAGAGGCCTGCTCATATTTGCCAAAGGAGTAGAAAAAAAAAGTAAACTACTTATCTTCAATCCTTTATTATCTATGGGGTTAATATTTTCCTAACATCTCCTAAGACAGTGGCTAATCAAAGTAATCTCCTTGCTTATTTGAGTTTGATATCCTAATGGAACACTGTTGATTACCAGCACTAGACCAATATTTTTCAAAGGTTTGTTTTATATGACTTCTTCCAGTTAAACTAAGTGATTGTATGTCCCAATCACTATTCTAGGTGTTCCCAAAATGTTTTTTTGCAATTGATTTCCAGTTCATATAGTAATATAATACTTACACGTTTTCATCTGTTTTTGCCTATACACATACTTTCTCTGAACTTAGTGAACTCTTCCATTTGTGCCTCTGAGGACATTTTCCGTCTTCCAAGCCGGCACACAAACATGTAGATGTGAATCACCTACTGCAGAAACATGAGAGAGAAAGAGAGAGAGGAAGAGATTTGGAGGCTTATGGCAGAAGAAGATTTTAATTGGCACAGTCTACCTAGAGGCAACCGGCTGAGAGGAAGGAATAAAAAGAGAGACACCATGTGGAAAGAAGAGTCTGGAGAATGCACAAGCCCTTGGAAGCTAACGTTCCTGGAAGCAACCTCAGTGTGCACTTGTTCCCTTTTGAGAAGCACTCCCTTAGGTGGACGGCCAGTGGTCCATGTTACTTTTGGTTTGCATTGACTCTGGTCTAGACAGCAGAGGGACAACCCAGAGTGAAACCTAGTTCTGTTTACCTATTTCTCAATCTTTAACACATAGCAAACTGTTGACAACCCAGAGGCATAAACATCAGGATGCTTACAAGCCTTAAGAAGAGAGAATAAGGGGCTAAACAAGTAATCGATGCTTAGAAAACTTGTGAGTTAAAGATGATATGAAGATAAATCCTTACCCTCTGACCAATAGCACCAGCCTAAAAATACAGTGCTTTTGTATGAACTACAGAAAACTGCCCCTTTTGATAAAAACAAATATAAAAAGATCTCAATTCTCAATAAAGAAATTATAGAAAGGTGGGCAGATGAATTTCAAAAAAGTACTTAGGTAGAAGTGAAAGCATGGGCTGGACTTCAGAGCACAGCCTGCACAACCGTGCTCAGCATACTAGCCATAGCAGGACTAGAACCCGGTTGGAATTGTTCGTGTCTTTGTAACTGCCTGAACTACCCTCTGCTTGGCTAACTTTTATCTTTGAAGACTCAGTTCAGGCACTACCTTAACTTACCAGAATGGGTCAGCATTCTTTTTTCCAAAAAAACCCTTGAATGCTTCTGCCCTAATACTAATGTAAAACTATGATCTTGAAATGACCTCTTTATCTATTTGTCTCTCTGACATATAAGCTTATCAAAGACAAATTATATCACATTGATCTTAAAGCCCCTAACACCTAGCTTAATGCCTGCTATGTAGTAGTATCTTAATACATGTGGGATTAAGTGTCCTCCCCTTGTAAAGCCATGGCATATTTACAATGGCATTTGCTCCTCTATTAAACACTTCTAAAGAGAAGAGAAAAGCCAGTGGTGCAGAGATTTTAGTGACATACAGACACACCATTCCACTCAACAGATTCAGTGAAGACTCCTTTTTTAATTAGGCAAGGATAAATAGAGCATTTTGAATTATTAATGCAGACTGCCTCTCCTTTAACCTAAGCACATATTCAGAAGGTAGATTCTTAAATACAAATTCCTCAAACCTTAATTAATTTTAAGAATTTTATGAATTTTATGAATTAATGTAATGAATATTGCAAATATATATTATTTTGCAATATTATGAAAGGTACTAGCTAACTAGCTAACATTTATATTTACAATGTGCATATAGAGTTTCTGACTATTTTATTCTTTTTTTATTATACTTTAAGTTCTGGGATACATGTGCAGAATGTGCATGTTTGTTACATAGGTATACATGTGCCATGGTGGTTTGCTGCACCCATCAACCCGTCATCTACATTAGGTATTTCTCCTAATGCTGTCCCTCCCCTAGCTCTCCACCCCCCAGCAGCCCCTGGTGTGTGATGTTCCTCTCCCTGTGTCCATGTGTTCTCATTGTTCAACTCCCACTTACGAGTGAGAACACATGGTGTTTAGTTTTCTGTTCCTGTGTTAGTTTGCTGAGAATGGTGGTTTCCAGCTTCATCCCTGTCCCTACAAAGGACATGAACTCATCCCTTTTTATTGCTGCATAGTATTTCATGGTGTATATGTGCCACATTTTCTTTATCCAGTCTATCATTGATGGGCATTTGGGTTGGTTCCAAGTCTTTGCTATTGTGAACAGTGCTGCAATAAACATACGTGTGCATGTGTCTTCATAGTAGAATGATTTATAATCCTTTGGGTATATACCCAGCAATGGGATTGCTGGGTCAAATGGTATTTCTGGTTCTAGATCCTTGAGGAATTGCCACACTGTCTTCCACAATGGTTGAACGAATTTATACTCCCACCAACAGTGTAAAAGTGTTCCTATTTTTCCACATCCTCTCCAGCATCTGTTGTTTCCTGACTTTTTAATGATCACCATTTTAACTGGCGTGAGATGGAATCTCATAGTGGTTTTGATTTGCGTTTCTCTAATGACCAGTGATAATGAGCTTTTTTCATGTGTTTGTTGGCCACATAAATGTCTTCTTGTGAGACGTGTCTCTTCATATCCTTTGCCCACTTTTTAATGGGGTTGTTTGTTTTCTCCTTGTAAATTTGTTTAAGTTGCTTGTGGATTGTGGATATTAGCCCTTTGTCAGATGGATAGATTGCAAACATTTTCTCCCATTGTGTAGGTTGCCTGTTTACTCTGATGATAGTTTCTTTTGCTGTGCAGAAGCTCTTTAGTTTAATTAGATCCCATTTGTCAATTCTGGCTTTTGTTGCAATTGCTTTTGGTGTTTTAGTCATGAAGTCTTTGCCCATGCCTATGTCCTGAATGGTATTGCCTAGGTTTTCTTCTAGGGTTTTTATGGTTTTAGGTCGTAGGTTTAAATCTTTAATCCATCTTGAGTTACTTTTTGTATAAGGTGTAAGGAAGGGGTCCAATTTCAGTTTTCTGCATATGGCTAGCAAGTTTTTCCAACACCATTTATTAAATAGGAAATCTTTTCTCCATTGCTTGCTTTTGTCAGGTTTGTCACAGATCAGATGGTTGTAGATGTGCAGTGTTATTTCTGAGGCTTCTGTTCTGTTGTATTGGTCTATATATCTGTTTTGGTACCAGTACCATGCTTTTTTGGTTACTGTAGCCTTGTAGTATAGTTTGAAGTCAGGTAGCATGATGCCTCCAGCTTTGTACTTTTTGCTTAGGATTGTCTTGGCTGTACAGGCTCTTTTTTGGTTTCATATGAAATTTAAAGTAGTTTTTTCCAATTCTGTGAAGAAAGTCAATGGTAGCTTGATGGGAATAGCATGGAACCTATAAATTACTTTGGGCAGTGTGGCCATTTTCATGATATTGATTCTTCCTATCAATAAGCGTGGAATGTTTTTCCATTTATTTGTGTCCTCTCTGATTTCCTTGAGTTGTGGTTTGTAGTTCTCCTTGAAGAGGTCCTTCAGATCCCTTGTAAGTTGTATTCCTAGGTATTTTATTGTCTTTGTAGCAATTGTGAATGGGGAGTTCACTTATTATTTGGATCTCTGTTTGTTGGTTATTCGTGTATAGAAATGTTTGTGACTTTTGCACATTGATTTTGTATCCTGAGACTTTGCTGAAGTTGCTTATCAGCTTAAGGAGTTTTGGGGCTGAGATGAAGGGGTTTTCTAAATATACAATCATGTCATCTGCAAACAAGATAATTTGACTTCCTCTCTTCCTATTTGAATACCCTTTATTTCCTTCTCTTGCATGATTACCTTGGCCAGAATATCCAGTACTATGTTGAATAGGAGTGGTGAGAGAGGGCATCCTTGTCTTGTGCCAGTTATCAAAGGGAATGCTTCCAGCTTTTGCCCATTCAGTATGATATTGGCTGTGGGCTTGATATAAATAGCTCTTATTATTTTGAGATATGTTCTATCAATACCGAGTTTTTTGAGTGTTTTTAGCATGAAGTGGTATTGAATTTTATGGAAGGCCTTTTCTGCATCCATTGAGATAATCATGTGGTTTTTGTCATTGGTTCTGTTTATGTAATGGATTACATTTATTGATTTGCTGAACCAGCCTTATATCCCAGGGATGAAGCTGACTTGATCATGGTGGATAAGCTTTTTAACGTGCTGCTGGATTCAGTTTGCCCAGATTTTATTGAGGATTTTTGCATCAATGTTCATCAGGGATATTGCCTGAATTTTTGTGTGTGTGTGTCTCTGCCAGGTTTTGGCAGCAGGATAATGCTGGCCTCATAAAATGAGTTAGGGAGGAGTGCCTCTTTTTTATTGTTTGGAAGAGTTTTAGAAGGAATGGTACCAGCTCGTCTTTGTACCTCTGGTGGAATTCAACTTTGAATCCATCTAATCTTGGGCTTTTTTTTTTTTTTGATTGGTAAGCTATTAATTACTGCCTCAATTTCAGAACTTGTTATTGGTCTAGTCACAGATTTGACTTCTTCCTGGTTTAGTCTTGGAGGATGTATGTGTTCAGCAATTTATCTATTTCTTCTATATTTTCTAGTTTATTTGCACAGAGTTGTTTACAGTATTCTCTAAGGGTAGTTTGTATTTCTGTGGGATCACTGGTGATATCCCTTTATCATTTTTGTTGTGTCTTTTTTGATTCTTCTCTCGTTTCTTCTTTATTAGTTGGGCTAGGGTCTACTATTTTGTTAATCTTTTTGAAAAATCACTTCCTGGATTCATTGATTTTTTGAAGGGTTTTTCATGTCTCTATCTCCTTTAGTTCTGCTCTAATCGTAGTTATTTCTTGTCTTATGCTAGCTTTTGAACTTGTTTGCTTTTGCTTCTTTAGTTCTTTTAATATTGATGTTAGGATGTTGGTTTTAGAACTTCCCCACTTTCTCATGTGGCCATTAATGCTATAAACTTCCCTCCAAATACTGTCTTAGCTGTGTCCCAAAGATTCTGGTACATTGTGTCTTTGTTCTCATTGGTTTCAAATAACTTCTTTATTTCTGCCTTAATTTCGTTATTTACCCAGTAGTCATTCAGGAGCAGGTTGTTCAGTTTCCATGTAATTGTGCAGTTTTGAGTGATTTTCTTAATCCTGAGTTCTAATTTGATTGCACTGTGGTCTGTGAGACTGTTTGTTATGATTTCCATTCTTTTGCATTTGCTGAGGAGTGTTTTACTTCCAATTATGTGGTCAATTTTAGAATAACTGCAATGTGGTGCTGAGAAGAATGTATATTCTGTTGATTTGGGGTGGAGAGTTCTATAGATGTCTATTAGGTCCACTTGGCCCAGGTCTGAGTTCAAGTCCTAAATATCCTTGTTAATTTTCTGTCTCATTGATTTGTCTAATATTGACAATGGGGTGTTAAATTCTCTCACCATTATTGTGTAAGAGTCTAAGTCTCTTTCTAGGTCACTAAGAAGTTGCTTTATGAATCTGGGTCTTCCTGTATTGGGTGCATATATATTTAGGATAGTTGGCCCTTCTGGTTGAATTGATCCCTTTACCATTATGTAATGCCCTTCTTTGTCTTTTTTGATCTTTGTTGGTTTAAAGTCTGTTTTATCAGAGACTAGGATTACAACCCCTGTTTTTTTTTTATGGTTTTTTTTTTTTTTTTTGCTTTCCATTTGTTTTGTAAGTCTTCCTCCATCCCTTTATTTTGAGCCTATTTGTGTCTTTGCACATGAGATGGGTCTCCTGAATACAGCACACCAATGGGTCTTGACTCTTTATTCGATTTGCCAGCCTGTGTCTTTTAATTGGGGCATTTTGCCCATTTACATTTAAAGTTAATATTGTTATGTATGAATTTGATCCTGTCATTATGATGCTAGCTGGTTATTTTGCCCATTAGTTGATGTAGTTTTTTCATAGTGTCTATGGTCTTTACATTTTGGTATGTGTTTGCAGTGGCTGGTACCAGTTTTACCTGTCCATATTTACTGCTTCCTTCAGGAGCTCTTGTAAGGCAGGCCTGGTTGTGACAAAATCCCTAAGCATTTGCTTGTCTGTAAAGGATTTTATTTCTCCTTCACTTATGCAACTTAGTTTGGCTGGATATGAAATTCTGGTTTGAAAATTCTTTTCTTTAGGAATGTTGAAATTGGCCCCCAGTCTCTTCTTGCTTGTAGGGGTTCTGCAGAGACATCTGCTCTTTGTCTGATGGGCTTCCCTTTGTGGGTAACCCGACCTTTCTCTGTGGCTGCCCTTAACATTTTTTTCTTCATATCTCCTTTGGTGAATCTGACGATTATGTGTCTTGGGGCTGCACTTCTCGAGGAGTACCTTTGTGGTCTTCTCTGTATTTCCTGAATTTGAATGTTGACCTGCCTTGCTAGGTTGGGGAAGGTCTCCTGGATAATATCCTGAAGTGTGTCTCCCAACTTGTCTCCATTCTCCCCGTCACTTTCAGGTACACCAATCAAGTGTAGGTTTGGCCTTTTCACATAGTCCCATATTTCTTGGAGGCTTTGTTCATTCCTTTTTATTCTTTTTTCTCTAATCTTGTCTTCACACTTTATTTCATTAAGTTCATCTTCAATCTCTGATATTCTTTCTTCCACTTGATGATTCTGTTATTCATACTTGTATCTGCTTCACAAAGTTCTCGTGCTGTGGCTTTCAGCTCCATCAGGTCATTTATGTTCTTCTCTAAACTGGTTATTCTAGTTAGCAGTTCCTGTAACCTTTTATTCAGGTTCTTAGCTTCCTTGCACTGGGTTAGAACATGCTCCTTTAGCTTGGAAGAGTTTGTTACTATCCTCCTTCTGTCAATTCATCAAACTCATTCTCTGTCCAGGTTTGTTCCCTTGCTGGCAAGGAGTTGTGATCCTTTGGAGGGGAAGAGGCATTCTGGTTTTTGGAATTTTTCAGCCTTTTTGTGCTGATTTTTCCTCATCTTTGTGGATTTACCTACCTTTGGTCTTTGATGTTGGTGACCTTCAGATAAGGTTTTTGCATGGTCATCCTTTTTGTTGATGTTGATGCCGTTGCTTTCTGTTTGTTAGTTTTCCTTCTAACAGTCAGGCCCCTCTTCTGCAGGTCTGCAGGAGTTTGCTGGAGGTCCACTCCAGACTCTGTTTGCTTGGGTATCACCAGTGGAGGCTGCAGAATAGCCAAGATGGCTGCCTGCTCCTTCCTCTGGAAGCTTCATCCCAGAGGGGCACCTGCCAGATGCCAGGTGGAGCTCTCCTGTATGAGGTGTCTGCTGACCCCTGCTGGGAGGTGTCTCCCCATCAGGATGAACGGGGGTCAGAGACCCACTTGAGGGGGCAGTCTGACCCTTAGCAGAGCTTGAACGCACTGCTGGGAGATCTGCTGCTCTCTTCTGAGCCAGCAGGCAGGAACATTTAAGTCTGCTGAAGCTGTGCCCAGAGCCACCCCTTCCCCCAGGTGCTCTGTCCCAGGGAAATGGGAGTTTTATCTATAAGCCCCTGACTAGGGCTGCTGCCTTTCTTTCAGAGATGCCCTGCCCAGAGTGGAGGAATCTAGAGAGGCAGTCTGGCTACAGTGGCTTTGCTGCACTATGGTGGGCTCTGCCCAATCCCAACTTCCCAGCAGCTTTGTTTACACTGTGAGGGGAAAACCGCTTACTCAAGTTTCAGTAATGGTGGATACCCCTCCCCCGACCAAGGTCAAGTGTCCCAAGTCAACTTCAGACTGCCAGAGGAAGGAATGGTTCTGTCTTGCTGGGGTTCCAGGTGCCACTGGGGTATGAAGAAAAACTCCTGCAGCTAGCTCGGTGTCTGCCCAAATGGCCACCCAGTTTTGTGCTCGAAACCCAGGGCCCTGGTGGTGTAGGCACCCAAGGGAATCTCCTGGTCTGCAGGTTGTGAAGACTGTGGGAAAAGTGTAGTATCTGGGCTGGATAGCACCATCCCTCATGGCACAGTCCCTCATGGCTTCCCTTGGCTAGGGGAGGGATTTCCCTGACCCCTTGTACTTCCCAGGTAAAGTGACACACCAACCTGCTTCTCCTCACCCTCTCTGGGCTGTACCCACTGTCTAACCAGTCCCAATAAGATGAACTGGGTACCTCAATTGGGAATGTTGAAATCATCTGCCTTCCGCATTGGTCTCACTAGGAGCTGCAGACCAGAGGTGTTCCTATTTGGCCATCTTGCCTGAACTCCGA
Source organism: Homo sapiens (assembly GCF_000001405.40). Classification (NCBI taxonomy): domain Eukaryota; kingdom Metazoa; phylum Chordata; class Mammalia; order Primates; family Hominidae; genus Homo; species Homo sapiens. The sequence continues at coordinate 83,753,264 of NC_000005.10, read as the reverse complement.
TGATTTTATTCTTAAGTACACAAAATACCATCACTACAATCACTGGGATAATACTGCAATTGCTGTATCAATAATCTTGCATATTAAATTTTTATATTTATAATTTAGCATACAATAGTCAATAAATAAATTTTTGAAAACGTTATTATCATTAATTGTTCCAAAAGGATATGTGTTAAGAATTCCTAATGATAGCATCCTTTGAAACCTTAAGGTCTGCTACAGTCTATAAAGCCAGGGATGTGAGAACCTAGGACTCTTCTGACATTTTCATAGTGTTTTCAGTTTTTGTAAGTAGTCATTTATGACAAAACGTAATAAACCATAAAAGCTGTGCTGTGGTGGCAGTGGTTTCATAAAACTGCCTCAACAATGAAATTAGTAATATACTGCACTGTTTGATAGCATGTCTTTTTCAGATGTTATCTAAATGCAACTTTCAAAACCCTGGGGAAAAAGACATTACATTTTAATTTTATGGGTGAACTACAGTAGGTTCAGTATACATTAATTGAAATTCCTTTGTGCTTGGTCAACATGATAGCCAATGATTATCCAAACTTAAATTTTTTTAAGCTTGTCTTTTTTTTTCTTTGTAAACCAAGGAAAGAAAAAATGAAAATATTATGTGAACAAAAACTTAGTTATAAGGATGATCATCAGATATTGCTTACACAGGAAAAAATGGAAAATATCATACATGCCTCATAATGGGACATGAGTTACATGAACTAGGGTACAGCCATATATTGAAATATACTATGCATCCATAAAACAAATGCTACAAAATATGTTTATCATCTCAAAAGGATGTAATTATTTACTGCTCAGTTTTAAAGGTCAGGTTAAGAAAATATTTGTGCTTATATACATAATAGGTTTATACGCTATAAGCCTTAAACATATTAAAAAAATTAATATGACTAACAAAAATAGTAGAAAGGTAGTTCATAGGAAGTGGGAAAATATATGTGCACCAACTTCCTAATCTTTTATAGCAGTATTTAATAGATACTTTTCAGAGTTAAAGTTTTCTGACTCGCACTGTTTTAAAAATATTTCACTTTTATTTTAGAAGCTTTTTGCAAAATTTGCAGGAATAAACTGCATAAAAACTCTTTTTATTAATCCCTCTCTGAAATATTGCTTACTTTTATACTCGAATCTTTTAAATTCATGTTTTCTTCTGATGTTTGTAATTCAACTCAAGGTAATATTGTACTGATATGCTGCTATACAATCCCTGCTAAAGCATTGGTCATAAAGCAATGAAAAAGACCAAAAGATAAAAGATAAATAAATGGACTGTAACTACATGCAGAAGTAGAGCTTCAAACTAGCATGAATGTACAGTTTAACAAGGAGATGACAGCTGAAGTCCTGAAAGGTGTGTAGACTGAGGACAGAGAAGTTTGAAGGTTGTTTAGTTAATAGGTGGAGAAACCCAGAAATAACTCTGCTAGCAGGAGCCAAATGTTTCTGTATTTCACCGAAGTAAGAAATGCCTTGATTCATTGATTATCCCCTGGTTTGGGCTAGAGGATAAAAAATAGTTTGCATAGTACCAATGAGAGAGCAGAAATAAAGGGAAGACAAATTCAGGAAATAATAAATGCTTAGAAACAAAACTCCGTATCACTTGCAATTCAAGGAAAAGTGAATGAAACAGCTTGGCTAAAGCTAAGCATGACTGAAAATCTGTAGGGAAGACAGGGGGTCTATTATGGAAGAAACTGAAAGCTAAGTAGAGTAGTAGACTTTAACAAATATGAATAATCATGGCTGATTTCTAAGTTAGATTTTGAAAATATTTAAATGGTATAAAATACATCAGAAGTATAAAAGAGGAAGTGAAGAAACAACCTTTCCAAACAGCCTACTATAGTCCGGGCACAGTGCTCAGTAATTTCTCATTTAATATTTATAACAACTCCATGAGGCATATATGACAATTTTCATTTTACAGATGAGGAAATTAGAGCTCAGAGATGTTATTAAAAAATAACATACCTGCTCCAAGTAGGGAAGAACAGACACTATTAAGGGACTGTTTAGGAGGCAGGCTTTTAGAATGATAGAGTAAGGAGATCCAAAAATTCACTTCTCCATAAAAGTAATTAAAACATTGACAAAATTGTCAAAATCAACTTTGTCAGAACCCTGGAAATGAACTAAAGGCTTGTAAGAATTTAAGGAGTGTTTACTCAAGGTAAATGCCTAAATTTTGGTAAGGACAGCAAGCTTCTGTGGTGTTTTAGCTTCCCCTATTTCCATTCCTTACTTCCCAATTCTACAAGAGTCATGAAAATCAGCAGCATTATAACCATGGCAACTGTGAAAACCATCAGCCTAGCAGCAACTTGAGGAAGCAGACTAGATTTGGATCTCCTTAAAAAGCACTATCCTTTGAAAATTGCTTCTAGTTTCTCTGTCTGCCAGCTCTCTGGAAAATCTCCATTCGCAGGGCTTTTCATTATTTGACTTGACTCAAAACTCCTTCAGTAGGAAAATCCCTATTCATAGAATCTTTGTCAAAAATAATTAGCCACAATTGCTAGCAGTGCAACTGCCTTAAGTAGTGATACCAGTTGAAGAAAAGAAGAGGCAGACCAAAAAAAACTTAAAAAGAGTATCTGGGTAATTAAATGTCCATAAGGGTCTTGGAAGACCTCCAACATATTTCTGGGAATCTAGAAGGCCATGTTTATGTACAGGGATTGATACATATCGAGGAAAAACACAGGTTCACCCCTGGCTGAACCTGAGATCCTGAACAAAAAGGAAATGAAGACTAAGGCAGAGTTGTAAACTGCCAAGGCACAGATAGCCCCTCAGCAGACTGGAAACTTATTGGATAAAGGCAATTAAGGAAATAACTGTGTAATCATTAGCTGATCATTAAGCTAACTTATCAATGACTTCGGTGGCTTATGATAGAGAATAGAGAGTAAGTCCAAGAAGGACATTCAACAAAAAAATAAGAACAACAACGATAAGAAACAGCAACAATGATCCAGCAAACGACCAATGACAGCAACAATAATCGTGTATGGTGATTTAGTTTCCAAAGATATCAAAGTATATTATTTAAAATATTTATTTTCCAACAAAAATTACAGGACACACAAAGAAACAGGAAAGTTTGGGTGTGGTAGTACAGTTCTGTAGTCTCAGCTACGTGACAGGCTGAAGCAGCAGGATTGTTTGAACTCAGGAGTTGAAGGCTGCAGAGAGCCATGATCATGCCACTACACTCTGGCCTGGGTGGCAAAGTGAGACCCTGTCAAAAAAAGAAAGAAGGAAGGAAGGAAGGAAAGGAAGGAAGGAAGGAAGGAAGGAAAGGAAGGAAGGAAAGGAAGGAAGAAAGAGGAAAGTATGCCTATAAATAGAGAAAAAGCCATCAATAGAAACTATCCATAACAAAGCATAGATGTTAGACTTATTAGACAAAGCTTTTAAATCAGCTATTATAAAAATGCATAAAATCTAAAGGAAGCCATATCTAAGGAATTGAAAAAAAAAGAACTGTAAACAATGTATCACCAAACAGAGAATATCAATAAAGAGATAGTAATTATTAAAAAGAACCAAAGATAAATTCTAGAGTTGAATAATACAACAACTAAAATAAAAAAATCATTCAAGGGACTTAACATTAGATTTGAGTTGGCAGAAGGAAGAATCAATGAACTGAAGATACGTCAATTGAGATTATTCAGTCAGAGGAACAGAAAAAGACATGAAGAAAAATTAGTAGAGCCTCAGAGAACTGTGAAACATCATCTACCATAACCACATTTTAAGAATGGGAGTTCAAAAGAAAAAAAGAGAGAGAGAAAGGAGCAAAAGGAATATTTGAAGAAATAATGGCCAAATATTTTATGGTCATATGTTAGATTATAAAACAAATTTGATGAGAAACATTAATCAAAATGTCCAGGAAGTTCAGCAAACTCTAGTAGGATAAACTCAAAAATGGCCATGATAATAGTCAAACTATCAAAAAACCAAAGATAAGAGAATATTTAGAGCAACTAGAGGAAAATTAATTGTCACCTACTAGGGATCTAAAATAAGTTTAACAACTGAATTCTCATCAGGAACCACGGAGATGAGAAGTAAGTAAGATGACATAGTCAAAGGGCTGAAAGAAAAAAAAGGTCAGCCAACAATCCCATATCCCTTAAAACTGACAGGGAAATTAAGATGTCCCTAGACAAACCAGATCTGAGAGAACTGTCACCAACATTCATGTCATGTAAGAAATAATATGCTGGGTGCAGTGGCTCACGCCTGTAATCCCAAAACTTTGTGAGGCTGAGGCAGGTGGATCACTTGAGGTCAGGAGTTTGAGACCATCCTGGCCAACATTGTGAAACCCCAACTCTACTAAAAATACAAAAAATTAGTTGGGCGTGGTGGCAGACACCTGTAATCCCAGCTACTTGGGAGGCTGAGGCAGCAGTGGAAGTTGCAATGAGCCAAAATCATGCCACTGCACTCCAGCCTGAGCAACAAGAGAGAGACTCTGTCTCAAAACAAAAAAGAAAGAAAGAAAGAAATAATAAAGGGAGTCATTCAGGTAACAATGACAGGATACCAGATGGAAATTCAAATCCACATTAAAAAAATAAAAAGATTAAGTAAAGGTAACTACATAAGTAAATATAAAGATAATATGAATGTATTTTTGTTTTTAACTCTCTCCTCCTATATGAGTTAAAAGATAACTGAATAAAGCAATAATCATAAAGCTATGTTGATAAGCTTATAATTCATAAAGATGCAATTCGTATAACAGTAATAGCAAAAAGGATTGGAGAGAGTGAATCTATTTTGGAGCAAAGTTTTTTTATACTATCCAAATTAATTTGATAGCGATCTAAACTAGACTGTTTTAAGTAAAGGTGTTAATTTGTAACTGTCTAGGCAAACATTAAGGAAATAACTAAAATGACATAAAGACTCAGCAAGGAAAAGAAAATGGTACACTAGAAAACATCTATTTAAAACAAAGGAAGGAAGAAATAAAAGGGTAGAGAAACAAAACTAAGACACATAGAATGCAAATAACAAAATGACCAGCATAAATCCTACTTTATCAGTAATTAAATAGGTTAAACACCCCAATCAAAAGGTAGAGATTAGAAGAGTAGATAAATGGCCTACCTATATGGAATACCTACAGAAACACACTTTATATTTAAATATACAAATAGATTGAAGTGAATTGATGTAAAAAATATATGTACCATGCAAACAGTAACTAAAAGAGAACTGGTGTGGCTATGCCAATATCAGACAAAATAGATTTTAAAACAAAATTTGTTACTAGAGAACAGGAGGGACATTTTATAATGTCAAAGAGTCAGTTGATAAGAAACACATAACAATTATAAATTTATAAGCACCTAAAAACAGTGTCCCAAAATAAATGAAGCAAAACTGACAAAATTAGAGGGAGAAACAGACAGTTCAACAATAAAACAGATGGAGACTTCAAGATACTACTTTCAAAGCATAGAATATCTAGCAGAAGTTCAACAAGGAAATAGAAAACTTTAATAACTACAAGCTAACCAGACCTAACAGACATCTATAAAACACTCCCCTAAGCAACGCATTCTTTTCAAATGCGCATTCTCCAGAATAGACCATATGCTGGACCACGAAACAAACCCCAGAACATTTGCTGGAATTAAAATTTTAAAATCATATTTTTTTAGCCATAATAGAATTAAATTAGAAATCAATAACAATGAAATTTAAGATATTCAAAAATGTGAAAATTCAACAACACTACTAAATAAGCAATGGGTCACAGATGAAATCACAAGGAAAATTTCACTGGAGAGGCATAAAGAAAAACACCGACACTACAGCTTATGTGACTCAGCTAATGCAAGTGCTTAGAGAGAAATTCTATGCTGTGAACACGTGTTAAAAAAAATAAATCATGGGAGGCCGAGACGGGTGGATCAGGAGGTCAGCAGATCGAGACCATTCCGGCTAAAACGGTGAAAGCCCGTCTCTACTGAAAAATACAAAAAATTAGCCGGGCGAGGTGGCGGGGGCCTGTAGTCCCAGCTACTCGGGAAGCTGAACGGCGTGAACCCAGGGGGCGGAGTCTTCAGTGAGCCGAGATCGCGCCACTGCACTCCAGCTTGGGTGACAGCGAGACTCCGTCTCAAAAATAAACAAATAAATAAATAAATAAATAACCAAGCTTTCACCTTAAGAAATTACAAAAAGACTTTCCCAAGCGGCTGCCGAAGATGGCGGAGGTGCAGGTCCTGGTGCTTGATGGTTGAGGCCATCTCCTGGGCCGCCTGGCGGCCATCGTGGCTAAACAGGTACTGCTGGGCCGGAAGGCGGTGGTCGTAAGCTGCGAAGGCATCAACATTTCTGGCAGTTTCTGCAGAAACAAGTTGAAGTACCTGGCTTTCCTCCACAAGCGGATGAACACCAACCCTTCTCGACGCCCCTACCACTTCCAGGTCCCCAGCCGCATCTTCTGGCGTACTGTGCAAGGCATGCTGCCCCACAAGACCAAGTGAGGCCAGGCTGCTCTGGACCGCCTCAAGGTGTTTGACGGCATCCCACCGCCCTAGGACAAGAAAAAGCAGATGGTGGTTCCTGCTGCCCTCAAGGTCATGCGTCTGAAGCCTACAAGAAAGTTTGCCTATCTGGGGCGCCTCACGAGGTTGGCTGGAAGTACCAGGCAGTGACAGCCACCCTGGAGGAAAAGAGGAAAGAGAAAGCCGAGATCCACTACCGGAAGAATAAACAGCTCATGAGGCTACAGAAACAGGCCGAGAAGAACATGAAGAAGAAAATTGACAAATACACAGAGGTCCTCAAGACCCAGGGACTCCTGAGCCCAATAAAGACTATTAATTCCTCAAAAAAAAAAAAAAATTACAAAAAGAACCGTAAACTCAAACTAAACAAAATAGAGAAAATAATAGAGGATAAAAATAAATGAAATAAAGGATAGAAAACATTAAAGAAAATCCAGATAATCAAAAGTTAATTATTTGAAAAGATCAACAAAATTGATAAACTTTTAGCTAGAATGACTAGTGTAAAAAGAA